>NC_000015.10:87047338-87198853 GCF_000001405.40 Homo sapiens
AACCAGAACAGAGACCAGCCCTGTCTGCTGTGGATGCTCTGATGGTTTAAGCAGCTGATATAAATCATGACAAGAAATAGCAGAGAAGGGAATAACATGAAACACAGCAGCAGGAAGCCTGGAAATATCTGTGAGATTTCCTTGCAGGTTCCTAGAGTCAGGTGGGCTAGAGGTCTGGATGCTTAAGAGTAGATGGGGTCAAAGACCAGAAATAGTGTCTTGTCACAAAGTCACTCTTTATCACTAATCAGGTTTGTCCTGGGGGCCACTTATCTAATAGTGCTATATACATGCACGTTGGTGTTACAACCACAAAAGAAAAAAAAATGACAGGTCAGGGATCTGATTGATTGTTCAACAGAGCGCATTTATGGTGCTTGGCCTGTGCAAACAGACTTACGAGCAGACAGGCTCAGACCCATCAGAGATTGAGCACAATAGCTAGGATGCAAATCTCTCTATATGAAATGTCTCAGCCCATACATACATGGATATGGTGCTGAAAGCACTAGGACCCCTGAGCCAACATAAGCACAACCTAGGCATCTTGCAATATCTAAGCTTTGGGGACTCAGTTCTCCCCTGCTGTGATTATATGCCTGGCTCTAGAAGCATTGTGCAAATTATAGGACCTGGAGAGTCTAAACTGTAAATGAATGCAAATGAATGTGGCCTCCCAGGAAATAAAAATACAGGCTCATTATTTTGTTTTTCAGTCCAGAAAAGAACACACTTTGAAATGGCAGTTTCTGGCAAGAATAAAATAATATTAATAATAATGATAGCTCTGCCCAAGTCAATTTTCTACAAATGGCAGTCTGATAGGTGCTGGCAAAGTAAGGAAACATCAGCCGATCTTAAGAACAGTGACCTCCAGGGAACTTGCCATGAATCTATCATCACTGAGCCTTTTACCAGCAGCATTTATTTAGCCCGTTTATTCCACAAGGTGGTGGGGACACAACTGTACCCCTGGTATAGGCACAGAATGCATTGTTAAAGGGTGGGTAATATATAAGGTGATGTAAATATGTTCCATTTTAAACACATCCAAATTGGCCAATTTCCTTGATCTTTAAAAATAATTTCAAAGCACCATGGTGATGGAAACATTTTGTTATCTTTAAAATGCATAGACCAGATTCATCTTGGAGATGGCTATACTATTAGAATATTTTATGGATGCCATTTCTGCAGGCTACTGGTACTAGGAGAACTTAACAAACGGTGCCAGGAATGTTTGCTGCGTTTGCTCAGCTATTCAGGTTGATTTCCTGGGGTCCTTGCTACAGGAGATTCCAGTTTAGAGGTGATCCTCCTGGGCTGAGGTCTCTTATGAGGTCTCTATCCCTCTAAATCTTTGTTCAAAGCTTACCTCTCTTAATTAGGTCCACCCAGACAACCCTATTCATACTCAAACCTGCTCCAGAATCCCTTGTGTTACTGATCCTCCTATTTCTGCTGTATTGCTAAATCAGTGAATTATTTTTTGTTAACTACAAGTGGAATGCAACCTCTATAAGGACAGAGGTTTTGGTATTTTATTTCACTGATGTATCTAACACAGTGCCTGAAGCTCAGTAAATGTGTGGAATAAATAAAGGAATGGGTGCATCTTTGTTAAGGCACTTTATTTCACTGATATAGAAATCTCATCTTCTGAATGGGAATGATTATTTTTGTTTTCAGGACCTGTTACCTGCATAGTCAAAAATGGTTCAGTGCAAGTCCAGTTCATGTTGGGTGAGACCCAAGGAGGTTTGCTTTACATATACAGGCATACTTTTGAGATGTTGTGGGTTTGTTTCCACACCAATGCAATAAAGTGAATATGGTAATGAAGCAAGTCGCAGGAATTTTTTTTCCCAATACATATAAATGTAGCCTATTAAGTGTGCAATAGCATTATGCCTAAATAATGTACATTTCTTAATTAAAAATACTCTATTGCTAAAAAGTGCTAACGATTATCTAAGCCTTCAGCAAGTTGTAGTCTTTTAGCTGGTGGAGGGAGAGAGAAGGGGAAATGGCTGGTTGGTGGAGCCGTCAGAACACACTCAACATTAATCGATTAAGTCTGCCATCTTATGTGGGCATGAGTGATGGTGCCCCAAACCATAATAATAACAGCAGAGATCACTGATCACAGACCACCATAACAGTTATAATAGTAATAATAATAAATCTGAAATATTGCAAGAATTATCAAAATATGACACAGACAAGAAGTGAGCTCATGCTGTTGGAAAAATGGTGCCGACAGAGTTGCTTGATGTGGGGTTGCCACAAACCTTCAGTTGGTAAAAATAAAAAAAGCAATATCTGTGAAGAACAATAAAGTGAAGCACAATAAAATGATATATGTTTTTAATCCCAATGAAAAACTTCATATAAAGTGTTACTGATATCGGAGTTCAGCTTCTTGATTTTCAACATGGAAATTTTCTCCATAGATGTTCTAAATGTTAGTTCGCATGTGTACCGACATAATAGGTTTGAACTCATAGAACTCATTCACACGTGTTGAATATACATTTATTAAGAGTCTACTGTGCATTAGACACTGGGTTCAGTCTGTAGATGCAGAAATAAATCAATTGTCATTATGTGTCCTTAAGGAGCTCACAATGTGGTACAAGGCAAAGACCTGTGCAAATATACACAGCAATGATGGAATGCAACTGTGCTTCAAAGGAGGCCAGGAGCAGAATGCTGAAGGAGCAAAGAGAAAGAAGCCACGTGCTCTGCTTGCTGCAGAATAGATGATAAATGAACTTCTTCTTGGAGGATGAACAGATACTTGCCAGGTAGTCTGTGCGATGATGAAAGAAAGACCAGAGGAAAAGCATTCTGGGCAGAGTAGATCTCATGGGAAAGGAAATGAGATGGTCAAGGGACACTGGCACTTTGATTAGAACACAATGTTTTACAGAATATTGAATAGATTGATAAAGCTTAGTTATTGGGAAAGGTCTCTCTGAATCACTGGTCAAAGAAACCACATGCCTTCTCAGACTGCAAGACAACTCACTTAACTATGATGGAATCTTCTACAGAAGCACTTGCTTAGATGTGGTTATGTTATACCCATATGCATGTAATGCTTTTGCCCAGGTAGCTCCATGTTCTCAGCTTGAAAGATGCTGTATCAAATAGGTGTAGTGTCTGCAAATAGTAAAAATCAGTGATATCTTCTAGAACAACCTCTTTGGTAAGCTTCCAATATATCTGTATGTGTGCCTATATATAAAAATATATATGAATGACTTAAACACACGCATGCACAAACCCACACTTAAGAAGGTTCAAATTAATTAGAAGTTTTGGTCCTATAAGAAGGTTGAGAGTGCTTGTTATATTAATGATACAAAAGATGGTTTAGCTGCAACACGTGTTATCAGAAGTCTCCTCAGGGCTCTCTGATTTAACCTAGCTGGCTAGCAGATGAAACCTTCCCCTCTTGTATTTCCAAATGCACCTTCTCACTGGGACTTGGACATGCCCAGGAGTTTGCAATGGCTGTTCCTTCCACCAGGAATGTTGTTTACCCCGATGTCCACATGCATTGCTCCCTTATTTCCTTTTAAGTCATTGCTCAAATGTCACCATCTCGTTGTGGTTTACCTTGACCATTTTATTTAAAATATAAATTATTTTCCTACACAATTGGTTGCCTCCCTGGGGCTCTGACACTCCCGATTGTCTTTTCTGTTCTCTATTTTTTTTTCTTTTTCATAGCAGTCATTCTCAAATTATGTGTTTGCAGGGTTGCTTCACGACCTGCTGAAGGGGAAGAGGTGGGGCAGTGGAAGAGATAGGGTCTAGATCCCCAGCATTTATTTTAAATTAGCTCCTATTTTATATTATTTGACTCAAGGGCATATATCATGTAAAGTGTTCTGAGCCTTTAAAAAGTTAGAAAATGACTGTTGTAGATGAAAGTACACAGAACTAAATTCAGGAAACTTAGATTCCAGTCCTGTATCTTTTACAGACAAACTGTGTGTGAACTTATGAATGTCATGCACTGACTTTGTACCTGTAAGATGATGGACAAAATCATGGTCTCTTGGTTCTATTTGAATGGAGTTTTTCTGTGATTCTGAATAGTTAAACATCCTCCCTGCTGCTACAAAACAAAGACATGGAGGCTCCTGAAAATGGTAATGAATATTAGAGCAAGAACTGACATTATCTAGTTATGAGGAGATGCATTCATAAATAATAAAAGGAATGTTCACATATGGACCAAGTGTCTAAATATAAATACAAATACAAGTATAGTGATGGGAAATAGAGTGGAAACTGGATGCTAAAATGTGAGAAGAAAGGTCAGTTGTGACTACTTGGAAACAAATATAAGATAATATAGGATTTTTGGCAATCCAGAGAAAATAACTGAGGGCCTGGCTTTTCACATATTAATCTGATGAAGGCTAAAATCATGCTGTATGGCCAAAGCCATGCATGTTTTGAGACTCATCTCACAGATATATCCTACCACACTAGTAAGACCTTAAGAAATTTGGACCATTTTTGCATTTGTGCTTTTAACATCAAAAACAACAGCAGCTTCTCTTCAGAATGTCCAGTTTCAAAGGAAACTGGATATCTTCTGACACATCCCAGGATCCCTGCTAGCAGCTGTCAGGGACATCCTATTCCAAGTCTAGAGCACATCGTAATGAACATGAGCCTTCTTTGATGGAAAGGACAAAAGAGAAATCAATAGAGAGTAACTTGAAACACTATAGACTTTCCTTGTGTTTGTGATATGTTCAAAAATTCCTGTCAGCCTCTGCTAAGCTTCATCTCCCCTTTTTGATTATTTACTTGTTTTGAAGGATTAAAGAACAGAACTCTTGTCAGAACTTATTTATCCTTATGATACCACATTATTAATTCTAGTCCAAATGGCTTGATATTTGAAAAGTTAATTGAATTATGGTTTACTTTTGCAGTAAGGAGAGCAAAAGATTTCTTTTTAAACAAGTGGAACCTTATGGGATCTTATTTAGAGTTTGGCCTCTAAATTCGGAAGCTGTTTAAAAATCCTAAATTTTCTCCTGAGTATCTTTATTTAGATACTAATATCATAAGCTGGATATCTCTCTTCTCAGAATATATCACACAAGAAATAACTCTGAAAACTCAGGATATGATTTTACTAATAAACATCATAACAACAGCTAAGTAAAAGGAATATGTCATAATATTGGCAAACGAGAAGACAGATTTATTACAGAAGATGGGACTGACGTAACTCTATAATAAAAAACAAGTAATAATAAAATACTTACAAAATATAGACTCATTTTTAAATTGAAAAGAAAGAAGATAAAAACAGTATACTAAGTAGTTCCAGAATCAAAGTAATATGCCTAGTTACAGTCTTAGATATTAATGCCAATTAGAATAAAAACATGTGAAAACTTAAGGCAGAAAAACATGTCTTTAGAAGCATACTCATAGTCTCAAATATGTTAATTATTGAACTATAAAAAAGAAAATAAATTTTTCAAAAACAAACTGCCTCCTCTCCTGCAAAGATGTGATGATAATATGTATGATAAATCACAAAGATAACACTAGAAATTAATATATTAGAGAATTGAAAAAATGATAAATTTATGCAGGAGCTAGTTTTGGGGGTAAACTCTAAAAATAGTCAAAGTTTTTTTTAAAGGTAATCAAGCAAAATTCAGAATTCAGAAAACTAAAACTACAAAAATCCATACATAAACAAGAGGGCACAAATATGGGACAGATTTAAAACAATACTCCTATACATTTCTACAGCTAACATTGGAAAATCTATATGAAAAGGGTTATTTTCTATGCTTTTCTTAAAATAGAAGAGATAATTTAACAAATGTATTAAACGGGGAAATAAATTGAGCATGCTGTTAAGGATTTCCACTAAAACTGTGGGTCCAGAGAGCTTTAAATTCTATAAAATCAGTAAGAAACAGGTAACACTCATGCTCTCTACATTTTTCTGCATTGTGGAAAGGAGTACATTTCTTCTCAATTAAATTTATAAATCAAGTATAATTTTCATAATGAATCACAAAGATAGCTCAAGAAAATCGACTCATTTTTCAAGAATAGAAATGCAAAATGTTTTAATAAATGAAACCAGCATGTTAATAACATACAAGTGCATAAAGTATATAAAGGAATGTGACGCTATTTCAACAAAAGGATATATTAACATAATTTGTCATTTTAATAAGCAAAGAAGAAAAAATATTAATAGATGTTAAAAATAATTTCAAAACAATTTATAGTAATTTTCTACATTTAAGAACATAAAATGTAAGCTTTGAGCAAACTGTCAAGTGAAGTATACTAACTTTGCATGATGATTTCAAAACCATTAGCTGATGTCATTATGATTACATTCTAGAAGAACTATATATGCTATGACATAATATGAAATGTTATGTATTATCTATATAATAAGTATTGTTAAACATATTACAATACTATACTTAAATTTTTTCTGGTAGTTACAACCAATACAATAAAAAAGAATAAAAATAATAATACTAATTAAAATAGGGAATATTTTAAAAGATAATTCTTCACAGGTAATGGCAATTTTACCTAAATCAAAAGGAGAAAACTGAAAGAAAATCTATTATAAATAATGATAATTTTATAATTGGGTTACATACATAGTAAATATTTAAAACTAACTAGTTTTTCTGTATAGCAACAATAACACGTCAGATCATTTGGCACTTAAAGAAAACCAACAGCACGCATGTGCATACACACACACACACACACACACACATACACAAGACCATTAGAAGTCAGCAGAACATCTGAACCTGCAAGTAAATAAATTATTCAGGTAACAGAAAAGACCTTTAAATAAAATTTTTAATCAGAAAGATCAAAGAGCTAATTATTTAAAAATATGATTTATGTAATTCCAGCACTTTGGGAGGCCGAGATGGGCAGATCACGAGGTCAGGAGATCGAGACCATCCTGGCTAATACAATGAAAACCTGTCTCTACTAAAAATACAAAAAATTAGCCGGGCGTGGTGGCAGGCACCTGTAATCCCAGCTACTCATGAGGCTGAGGCAGGAGAATGGCGTGAACCCAGGAGGCAGAGCTTGCAGTGAGCCAAGATCGCGCCACTGCACTCTGGCCTGGACGACAGAGTGAGACTCCATCCCCCCCCACCAAAAAAAAAATGATTTAACATCATGTTATGGAAAGTAATAATCAGAGAAAAATAAAAATGTCATTATCTAAGGTAAACCTGGATGTAAAAATTCTCAACACAATACTGTCAAACCAAATCTAGCAGCACATCAAAAAGCTAATTGACCACGATCAAGTAAGCTTTATTCCTGGGATACAAGGTTGGTTCAACATATGCAAATCAAAAATGTGATTCATCACATAAACAGAACTAAAAACAAAAACCACATGATCGTCTCTATAGATAAAGAGAAGGCTTGTAATAAAATTCAACAACCTTCATGTTAAAAGCCCTCAACAAACTAGGCATTGAAGGAACATACATCAAAATAATAAGAGCTGTCTATGACAAGCCCACAGGCGACATCATACTGAACAGGCAAAAGCTGGAAGCATTTCCCTTGAGAATTGGAACAAGATAAGGATGCCCACTCTCACCACTCCTATTCAACATAGTACTGGAGGTCCTGGCCAGAGCAATCAGTCAAGAGAAAGAAATGAAAGGCATCCAAATAGAAAGACAGGAAGCCAAACTATCCTTCTTTGCAGACTATATAATTCTATACCTAGAAAACACCATATTATTTGGCCAGAGGCTCCTAGATCTGATCAACAGCTTCAGCAAAATTTCAGGATAAGAAATTAATGTACAAAACTCCACAGAATTTCTGTACACCAACAACATCCAAGGTGAGAGCCAAATCAAGAATGCAATCCCACTCACAATAGCCACAATAAGAAGAAAATACCAAGGAATACAGCCAACCAAGGAGGTGAATGATCTCTGCAATGAGAATTACGAAACATTGCTGAAAGAAATCAGAGATGACACAAACAAATGGAAAAACGTTCCATGCTCATGAATAGAAAGAATCAGTATTGTTAAAATAGCTATACTGCCCAAAGCAATTTACAGATTCAATGCTACCCCTATCAAACTACTAACATCATTTTTCATGGAATTTGAAAGAAAAAAACTATTGTAAAATTCATTTGGAACCAAAAGAGAGCCTGAATAGTCAAAGAAATCCTAAGCAAAAAGAATAAGGCTGGAGGCATCACACTACCTGACTTCAAACTATGCTATAAGACTACAGTAACTAAAATAGCATGGTACTGGTACAAAAACAGACCCATAGATCAACTGAACAGTTTACAGAACCCATAAGTAAAGCAGCACACCTACAGCCATCTAATCTTCATCAAAGCCAACAATAATAAGCAATGAACAAAGGGCTCACTATTCAATAAATGGTGCTGGGATAACTGGCTAGCCATTTGCAGAAGATTGAAACTGAACCTCTACCTTTCACCATATAAAAAACCAACTCAAGACAGATTAATGACTTCAATGTAAAACCTAAAACTATAACAACTCTAGAAGAAAACCTAGGAAATACCATTCTAGACATTGGCCCCAGCAAAGACTTCATGACAAAGACTAAACAAAAATTGACAAGTAGGACCTAATTAAAGTAAAGAGCATCTGCACAGCGAAGGAAACTATCGATAGAGTAAACAGACAACCTACAGAATGGAAGAAAATATTTGTGACTATGCATTCAACAAAGATCTAATATCCAGAATCTATAAGGAGCTCAAACTAACAAGCAAAAAACAACCCCATTTTAAAAATGGCAAAAGACATGACAGACATTTCTCAAAAGAACACATATATGTGGCCAACAAGCATATGAAAACATGTTCAATATCAGTAATAATTAAGGAAATGCAACTCAAAACCATGAGTTACCCTCTCACACCAGTCAGAATGTCTATTATTAAAAAGTAAAAAACAAACAAACAAAACAAAACAAAACAAAACAAAACAAAACAAAACAAAACAGATGTTGGTGATGTTGCAGAGAAAAGGGAAAACTTATACACTGCTAGTGGGAATGTAAATTAGTCCAGCCACTGTGGAAAGCAGTTTGGAGATTTCTCAAAGGACCCAAAATAGAACTACCATTCCACCCAGCAATTCCATTACTGAATATATACTAAAAATAATATAAATCATTCTACCATAAAGGCATATGCACACATATGTTCATTGTAGCACTGTTTACAGTCACAAAGACAGGGAATCTGCCTAGATTCCCATCAATGGTTGATTGGATAAAGAAAATACAGTACATGTGCACCACAGAATAATACACAGCCATAAAAAATATTGGGTCCTTTGCAGCAATATGGTTGGAGCTGGAGGCCATTATCCTAAGTGAATTAATGCAGGAAGAGAAAATCAAGTACTGTATGTTCTCATTTATAAGCAGAAGCTAAACACTGAATATAAATGGACATAAAGAATGAAACAATATAAACCAAGGCTTACTTGTGGTAGAGGGTTGGGGGAGAGTAAGGATAAAAAAGCTACCTATTGGGTATTATGCTGATTACCTGGGTAACAAAATTATCTGTACACCAAACCCCTGTGACATGAAATTTACCTGTGTAACAAACCTGCACATGTACCCCTTGAAGCTAAAATAAAAGTTGGAAAGAAAAAGAAACAGGAAGCAAAACAAAACAAAATGGTATTCCTGACAAAGGAAAAAATGGCAAAGAACTTAGTCTTCTCTTCTGCAACACTCTATGTCAAATGACAATAAATTAATATTATTAATATTTTGAGGGAAGTAGATTTTGAGGGAAAACAATTTTGAAGTTAGGATGCTACATCTATTAAAATATAAATCAAATGTAAATGAAAATTTAAAATATGTTCAAATGTACTAGAACTTAAAAAAAATTTCCATGTACTTATTTTTTGAGAAAAATATCTTGAGGTAACGCATTATCAAAGGAAAAAGGAATTCAAGAAAGAGAGAAAAAGAAGCAGACTTAGAATCAAAGCACAATGCACTTATACCACAAGTGAAATGAAAATAAATCATCGGACTTCAAATATAAAGCAGCCTTAAAACATAAAAATTAGCCCAACATAAAAGAGGAAATGAAATGGCCCTGAAAATAATGTTTGTTGTAAGAGATTGGATTTATTTTAAAGGCAGTTTGAAGATGCTGACTGTCAAAGTGCTACAATAAAGACCACACATTTTATCTATTCACCACTAGCACCACCACCACCACCACCACAACAAAAACCAAAATATATCTAGAGAGAAAAAACTATCTGTGAATACCATGAATCAATTGCAAAGAAAACTGAGATGTGGAACAGCTTTGAAGAATTGATAGACTTCTTTACTACAGAAGTCTACTAATGTACCAGTTTTGAATATTATTAAAAATATTTTTTAAAAAGCTAGTAGTACATATTTTCATTAATGTTACTCTATCTCTCTTTTTTCTGTACATGTATTACTTCTAGTTCTTATTATAATTGTTTTTAAATGTCTTCTAAAAATATCATTTGCCCTTTGTAGTAAGTTTGCAGAATAATACTATATTAATTGGGTGAGAAGTTTAGAGAAAACATTCCTCTTTACCTCTCAAGACTCTGGAAAGTCTCTCAATTTATATAACCCTTTCTTGATCTCAAAAATAAGAGAAGAAACATACTTTACAGGCACAAATAAGAAATAAGCTACAACTGATTCATTTTTGTATGTTCAATCAGGCTTACATTCCCAGGATAAACCCTACTTCATCATGTATTTTTGGACTTTATTTACTAATATTTTGTGGAGGACTTTGACATCTATGTTCATGAAGAATACTGCTTGTTAACTTTCTTTTCTTAGACTGTATTTGTACTGTTTTGGCCTCATGGTAGTACTGGCATAATAACGTGAGTTAGGACTTTTTTTTTAACCTTTTCTGTTGTCTTGAAGTATTGGCGTACAACTGTTATTACTTCTTAATTAAATATTTGATACAGTTTGCCAATGAAGCTATCTGGAAAAAAACCTTTTTTTGTTAAATTTTTTCAAGTTCAATTTATTTAGCAGAAATCGATCTGTTCTGTTTATCTGTTGTTTGTGAGTGAGCTAGAAAGTTTATGTACTTGAAGGAATTGGTTCATTTCATATCAGTTGTCAATTTATGGGCATATATAAAGCTAGTTTTTCCTTATTATCTATTTAATGTCTGTAGTATTTATAGCAATGTTACTTATTTCATTCCTGATATTTGTAATTATTATTTTTTTAAAATTATTATTATTATTTTTTGAGACGGAGTCTCGCTCTGTCACCCAGGCTGGGGTGCAGTGGCGCGATCTCAGTTCACTGCAAGCTCTACCTCCTGGGTTGATGCCATACTCCTGCCTCAGTCTCCCAAGTAGCTAGGACTACAGGCATCTGCCACCACGTCCGGCTAATTTTTTTGTATTTTTAGTAGAGACGGGGTTTCACCGTGTTAGCCAGGATGGTCTCCATCTCCTGACCTCGTGATCCACCCGCCTCAGCCTCCCAAAGTGCTGGGATTACAGGCGTGAGCCACCGTGCCCAGCTGATATTTGTAATTATTGTCTTCTCTCTTTTTGTCTTAGTTAGTGTATTAGTCCCTTTTCATGCTGCTGATTAAGACACACCCAAGACTGGGAAGAAAAAGAGGTTTAATTGGTCTTACAGTTACACATTGCTGCGGAGGCCTCAGAATCATGGTGGGAGGTGAAAGGCACTTCTTCTTACGTGGCAATGGCAAGAGAAAATGAGAAGGAGACAAAAGTGAAACCCCTGATAAAGCCATCAGATCTCGTGAGGCTTACTCACTACCATGAGAACAGTATGGGGGAAACGGCCCCCATGATTCAAATTATCTCCCACCAGGTCCCTCCCACAACATGTGGGAATTATGAGAGTACAATTCAAGATGAGATTTGGGTGGGGACACAGAGCCAAACCACATGATTCCTCCCCTAGACCCTCCAAATCTTATGTCCTTACATTTCAAAACCAATCGTGCCTTCCCAACAGTCCCCCAAAGTCTAAATTCATTTCAGAAATAACCCAAAAGTCCACTTTCCAAAGTCTCATCTGAGACAAGGCAAGCCCCTTCTGCCTATGAGCCTGAAAAAATCAAATGCAAATTACTTCCTAGTTACAATGGGAGTACAGGTATTCGGTAAATGAAGCCATTCCAAAGGGAAGAAATTGGCAAAACAAGGAGATTACCGGGCCCATGCAAGTAATACTCTTTCTTTGCTACTTATCACCAAAGTTTACAAACACTTGAGCTTTTGAAAAACTATTTGGGAAATGAAACACCATGGCTTACGATGTTATTGAACATTTTTTAAAATAAAATGTTCTTCTCAATTTAGTTGTATCTTGTGCAAATTTAGTTGGAAATCTTTATTTAAAGTAATTAACAAATGGAATGTCAAAATATTCCGTAGCTGATGCTCTTAATTAAATGTTGTTATTGAAAACAAAGTTTGAACACAAAAGGGGATATGAAAATTCATGCCCACAAAAGCAATGGGTGAGCATGACAATAGCAGCCACAACAAGACAATGAAAATTCTAACTTTGCACATAATATCATCTTAGAATCCAAGACATGCCACAGAATCAGGCAAATTATTTTACGAGTTTACATAGTTAGGCTGAAATATTTATACCTATAAACATGAAAAATATAGAAATTAGTATCTTCATTCTAGAACATTATTTTCTGAGCTCAATAGAAATACCAGTATCTACAGAGCAAAAGTTCTCTCAACTAAAATACTAAGTTTTTTTCTACTTATGAGTAAAACTTAAAACCTTCATTCATTAAAAGTCACTAGTAACAGAGGAAAAAGGCATGTCACACATCTGGGGAAAAAATTCTGACAAAGATTTGTATTCAATACAACAAAATAATTCCTACAAATCAATAACCAAAAGGCAGACCACCAGCAGAAGAATTGGCCAAAAAAAAAACCTTGCAAACATCCAAACCAACAACAAAAAGTATGAACAAATATTTCATGAATGAATATCACCAAAATATTAACAAATGTATAAAGAGGTGCTTGACTTCAGTAGTTATGAGTGGTGTTGAAGTTTAAAATACAACACGATACCACTACTCACCACTGGAAAGGCTAAAGGTAACAATGACTGAAAACAGCAAGCGTTCATAAAAATGTGGACCAATTGGGATTCTCATAAAAGAGAACACATGCACACTCTGTAGAATAGAAGTACCAATCCTACCTGTATATCCAATAGAAATGTGTCTATAAGTTCATCAAAAGATGTGTAGCCTGGTGCAGTGGAACATACCTGTAATTAACCCCAGCTACTCAGGAGGCTGAGGCAGAAGAATCGCTTGAGCTCGGGAGTTCAAGACCAGCCAGGGCAAAATAGAAAGACCCTATTTCAAAAAAAAAAAAAAAAAAAAAAAGATGCATAAGAGAAGGTATATAGCACCACTATTTACAATAGCTTGAAATTGAAAATCACTATAGTGCAGAATAAAATATAATCTATATATACAAAATAAAATATTTAGCCATGAAAATAAATGAACTATAACTATTCCCCAAAACATGACTGAATTTTACAAACAGTATCAAATAAAAGAAGCCAGACATGAAAAACTACATTCTGTATAATACCATTAATATAAAGTACACAAGCAGGCCAAACTAATTCATGGTGTTAGCAATGAGGGCAGTGGTGTCTTTTGTGGAGGATGGGTGTAGTCACTGGAAGAGGGCACGATGGTGGGCAGCTTTTAGAGCAGAGCGATTTTTTCCTTTTTAATGTGACGCTGGTTACCATAACTACACAATTGTGATTTTTAAACTCCTCTGTATGTGTGCCTTACATAAATAAACTTCGTGCACCGCAAAGCCAAAAAGGTCTTAAATAAATTAAATAAAAAGAGTTAAAATGGCATACCAGATTAAATGTCAAATTTCTATAATTGTGTTTTCAAACATCTTGACTTGCATGAAAAATATTTTGGTGGAATGTCTATTTTTAAGTAGATACATTTATCCTACACTAAAATGAAATAATATTAAAAGTGTATGATTTTGTGGTTTTTAAAATTGGTAAAAAAAAATTGAAAATAATCATATAGCAACTTACTGGATGAGTTTATAAAGATTTTTTCAAAGGAAGAGAAAATATACAGAATAGAGTAGGTTTAAGGTGTCAGCAGTTTCAAGTTTATTATAAAATGCACTTGAGGCCAATTTATGAAAAATTGAAAATAATAAAGACATATCAAAAATTATTTAGAAAAATATTAGATCCTCTGTATTAGAGACAGAGCTAAAATTTGATGAAATATGTAAATGTCTTAAGAATAATTATTCTGCTTATGTTATATTTTAATAATCAAATGCACGAGATAATTTTTCATTTTGTCTTTTTTTACACAGTTACATGTTACTTTTTTTCTTTGGAATAGCTTAATTTTTGAAACTAGTTTTTGAAGAGATTTATTTTATAATTTCACCAATATAATAATGTTTGTTAATCAATACATAAACATTTCACATTGATACATATATATACTTAATGATAATTCATATGGTCATTCTATGGATACAGAAATGATATAAAATATTGAATTTTTAAAAATTAATATAAAAACTTAAAGCATTTCAGCTCAAAATCTCAAACAAATTTTATAATGGAATTAGAAAGTGTATTCTAAAATATGCCTCAAAGAGCAAACGTCTTAAATGACCTAGTTAATTGAGAATAAAGAAAGACATATCATAACAAACACCAAGAACTATTAGAAGCTAGGGTAACTAAGACAACATAGTCTTGATGCAAGAATAGAAAAATAGAATGAAGAAACAGAATAAGATCTTAGATACAAATGTAAAATATCTATAGAAAATTGACACATGACAGATATTGCAAAAGAAATCACACGCTTGTAATTGGCAATGTTGTGGCAATTATCTCTATAGGGAAAACACTCTACTTCTATGCTATAAAGAAAACTAGTTGCAGATGAAATATTGACCTCAAAGTGAACAGCCAAACTTTAACTTCAAAAAGAAGATCTAGACAGGCAGCTTTTAATCAAAATTTTCATAAACCATAAGGGAAAAATTTAATCAGTATTATTAGGAAGAAATTAAAACTTCAGATAATGAAAATAGTAAAAAAAATTATATAAAACCTGCAAATATGTCACTTGTATTGCATTTAGATAACAAAGAATTAGTGTGCAAATTGTTCAAAATTATCCCTAAAATAAGTTCAACAAAAATAATTCAATTAAAATATTGGCCAAAGAAATAAACAGTTTAGAAGCGTAAACCAAAATGACCAATTAATATATATAAAAACATTCACCCTCACTTGTCAGGAAAGTTTTGCAAATATAGGCCATGATGAAATTTCAGATTCCATAGCCATAGAATTGCTAAAAAGTGTAAAGCCTGATAATGCTAAGAATTGACAAAGATGTGTAGCAACATATACACTTGTAAATTGAAATTAAGAATTTTAATTGGTGTAACTACTTTAGAGAAACGTTTGGCAATATTTATTTAAGCTGAAATTGCATGAACCCTTTAACTAGCAGTTTTACTTTCAGGCTATAACTCTTACATAGGTACTTGAGAAAGCATGAATTAGAATGTTCATTTCACCCATTTGGGTGAAATGTGAAAAATTATAGAAAATAACCCTAAATGTTTAAGAAGACAGTGATAAAACCTATACTAAATAGTGGTATCCTATATTAAAGTTTTTAAAAAACTAGATTTACATAATTCTCTAGAGATAAATCCTACAACTATAATTTTGAGAAGAAAAAAAGGGTCTCAGAAATGTGATTTTCTATAAAATTTAACAAATACACTTAATTATACAACATGGACAGATGCATAAGTATTTAGTAAGTAAAGAAAATTCAAATACTTATGAACAGAAAAATCAGGATAATGGTTATCTTTGGGAATGCCTCACAGTGTAGGGAGGGAAAGGTAGGCACAAGAATACGGCGGAGAGAAGTATACGAAGTAAAAGGCAAATATTTTCATTTTTTTCTAAAACTTTGTGGGGGGTGGCTTATGTTGTCACTCCACGGACTACTTATATATGTCTATAATGGTTCAAAATATAAGGGAAACAAGTAGAAAGTTATTCAATATATTCTGATAGGATTTTTAAAAGCCAGTATATATGGTATAAAACTATTTACATTTGTAAAACTATCTATGAATAAGCGTTTGGAACTATAAGAGAATGCATGAAGGAATATAGCAGGAGGCATTACCTTGGTTAAATTCAGATGAAAAAATAAGACATGACTTTCTTCTCCATTTTCTTTCTCTGTAGTTTCCTATTTTTTCCGTAATTTAGGCTTATGGTCTTTATCATCAAGGAGTAAGCGATCACAATCCCCAAACAATCAGTGTTTGAGTGGAAAGGGGATTAGATAGTAAGTCCCACAAAGCCTAGGCCCTAGCGTCTGTGTTCCTTGCCGTGTCCTTAAGGAAGGGTGCTCATTCCCAATATGCATTGAGTTGCTAGAAAAAAATAATAAATGAATAAATGAGTGAACAAAGCAAATTCTAAATTAAGCATTAAGGGAGTCATTATGGTACAGAATTTAACCAACATTTCCTGAAAAATTGGCTTTGCAAAAGAAAAATGATGCCTTTTTTTTTTTTGCCCTCAGGAAGCTTACCCTCTAGTGATGGAGTCAGACATGCAACAATATGATTTTGTTGTCCTAGAGCATTGTTAGGATTTAAATGTGTTGCCTATTTTCACCACAGAACACCCTCAAATCAAGCTCTTACCCTTTCCTAAATTGATGGATTTTGTTGGAGACTTGTGATTATATCATCTGCAGCTCCTTATTTCAGATTTAGTAAATCTGCCTTTGCATAAAAGGACACTCTGGATGAGCCCTTCTTTCCAACCAGTAGACAGGTATCTACGGTATCAATGTCAAGATCTCAGGTATGGGAACAATAGACATGTATAGTGTTCAACACTATTGCAGATGACTCTTATTCTCATATTTTATGATTTCAAAATGAATCTGGGAGAGGTGTGGAGAGAGTTAGTAGTTGTCTTGCTTTAAAACTACTTCCTGAATTCTGCTTATGCCTATGATGTACTAGCACATAGCTGACCAATCCTCTCCATGAGAACAACTACAAAACTGGATAACATATATTTCAGAAAAAAATCTGTGTAAAAACCTTATATATGTACCAAGGCAGGCAGGATATAAAATGCCAAGTCCCCAAGGAAAGGTATTGAGGAGAGTATGATATTCTACTCTACTTTTTCACTTTAGTAACTTATTGAATCGTTAACAAGATTTGTGGAAAGTCTAAGAACCTAGTTAGAAACAGCTGCTCCAGCTGATAACCAAGTTAAAAACAAGGCAGAGCTTTTGGCAGTCTCACAGGGAAAAAAAAGAAGAAATTGGTCTGCATAGACCTTATTTCTTGTGTGCCCAAGATCCCAAATAGAAGGGAAGAGAAGTGAGACCAACTTTTCCTCTTGATAAATTCTCTGATGTGTATTTTGTGCTGTCAGAGAGGTGGAGAAGCCAAATAGAAAGTAGGTCATAAGGGGCTAAGTGGAGCTGAGCTATCAGCCACCTTATGGTATGAGAGAGATAAACATTATAATTCAGAGCACTTGAAGGTGAAGAGACCCTGATAAACATCCCATAATTTTATGTAGGGACTCCTGGCAGTCTAGGGGAGTCAGGTGGACATGGCCTATGTCTTACCAAGCCTAAAATCAGCCTTGAGTTGTCACAATACAAGACTGGTGGTCTACTACTAATCTAACTACAAATAATAACCTGAAGGAAATATTCTCTAAAATAAGCAAATGTCATCCAGAGACTTTATATGCAGAGGGCATGGCATCTTTGCATACTCAGCACGTGACATTCTTTTAAAAATTATCGAGAATTCCAAGAAAAAGGACAAAGATAAGAAATAAACAAAATAAACCTATCTGCAGATGATGCATATATTTAAGTCATCAGATATGGACTTCAAATAATATATAATTTGCCAGCAATCCAAGCACTTTGAGAGGCCAAGGCTGGCAGATCACCTAAGGTCAAGAGTTTGAGACCAGCCTGGCCAACATGGTGAAACCCCATCTCTACCAAAAACAAACAAACAAAAAATACAAAAATTAGCCAGGCATGGTGGCAGGTGCTAGTCATCCCAGCTACTAGAGAGGCTGAGGCAGGAGAATCACTTGAACCCAGGAGGCAGAGTTTGCAGTGAGCCAAGGTCATGCCATTGCACTCCAGCCTGGGTGACAAGAACAAAAAACTCCATCTCAAATAATACTACTACTAATAATATATACTTTGTCTAAAAATAGATAGCAACGTAGAAAAGTTTACTAGAAGACACATATTTTCTTTGACAAATATGTATTTAGGTGTGTGTCTATTTTTTGAAAATCTCAATACCTAAAAATAGGAATGCCCTAGATGTGTTCTTCCTTTTTTCTCCCTTCCTTTTATTTTTTATTTTTTGGCTTCTTAAAAAAAAATGATTCTATATCTCTCCCTTTCTTGGTCTTCTATTGCTATGGCTTTTCTTCTCTTCCCTAAGTGATCAGGTCCAGTGGAGGCCATCAAGTCTTCTACAGAGATGGCCTGGACTGGCCAGGCTGGGGGAATCTAGAACAAAAAAGGCAGACAGGGCTGAAGGGATAGATGGGGGCTGGTAAGACTTGAGAGGTTGGGGCTACAGAGGTGATCAAAGACTGGATCAAGGAAGTAACCAAAAACTGCAGGGCCTGTGAAATCAAACACGAAATTACCCATACAATATTTTTCCATGCATGTAAACTTACATGCAAAAATAACTAATGGCAACAAATCAGCAGAGTGGTTCCTTGGGGAGGGAGGCAGTGACTATGGGTGTATAAACAGCGCTTCTGGCCTGCAGATTAATTTCTGTTCCCTCATCTGGATAGGGAGGTGTGATTTTGTGTGTCTGTGTGTAAAAATTCACCAAGCTGCACATTCAGGATTTGTAACTTTCTATGTTCAAGTTATACAGTCATAAATTTTTACTTGAAATATAAATTCTGACCTGAATGTTTATGAACAAATTAGAATTAGCATAAAATAGGGCAGGAAGAGTTAAGTGTTTGGCAATGTAGCTATAGGTCCGGGAACATAAAATTGTTTGATACATGTATAAACTATAGGCAGCTCCACAAACAAAATGAAAACTTGGAGGCAGGAATTGATGAGGGAGGAAGCTAGAAAAGCAGACAGAAACAAGTACATGGGGGGACTTGAATATAATACTAAGAATTTTGGCTTCTGACCTGCAGAAAATGGGAAACATGGAAGGCTCAGGAGTGGAGAGAATTGGTTCAGAATGAGGAGTGAGTTTAACACTCCATCAAACAAATCATTAAACAAAATAAGAAGCTTAGGGTCAGAGAAGCTGTGAGGTGAAAGTTGGTGGCAAGTGTTAATTTTGTTAAACAAAATATACATTTTGTTTAAATGTATAACTGGACAAGTGTGACCATTTTAACAGCAAAATATAAATGTTTTTAATCTTGATAATTTAAAGATTATATCATAACTTACAAAAATGTGGTGGCATATGTAAGCAGATATTGAAAGAACATGTAAAAATATTGCTTTCCTATTATTTGATACGATTTGAAATTGATAGATTTATTAGACCTTATATATTTTAAGGGCAATGTTAGTAATAAAGGTAGCAGTAAAGCCAATGATATAAGAAATAGAGTCTATAAACATTACAGATTATCAAAACTAAAACCCAAATCATACATACAAAGCAAAAGAAAATACAAACCATCGAGCTAATGACAGATGCTATAGGAAACATTAAAAACAAATGGAATAACACAAATGACAGAATTCAGAACAAAAATATCTGTTACAGCAACAAATGTCAGTGGGATAAACTAACCTATTAAAGAAAAAGACTCAGATTATATCAAATAATAAAACCTAACTATATGCCATATATATGAGACATATCTGAAATTGACTCAGAAGTTTGAAAGTGAAAAGATAGAATAAAATCACATCAGACAAACACAAACGAAAAATAAATCACAGCCCACAACAATGGTATTTAAGTTAAATCCAAGACAAAAATTTAAATGACTAAAGGATCTGTATAATAATAAAATTTACAGACGCATACACGTCTAAGTGTTCATGTGATCTTCATGCATCAAATAACAAAACATTAAAATGCATAACCAAGAATTGTGGGCAATAAAAGGAGAAAATATAGAAACATGGTAACTAGCAGAGTTTAACTTCTCTTGCATTGCATGACTAATCCAAGTTACAATAGAGATTTTTAAATGCAATTTAAAAAGTACACTCAATAATGTGTTCTTGAACTTTTCCCTGCTGTATACCCGGAAGGTAACTTGTTTTTAAATACCTATGGGGCATTTGGAAACATTGGCCATATATTAGGCGATAGAAATCTTCCAAGAATTCTCAAATGAAAGTAATATGGATCATATTTTTAAAATAATTTGTATAAAAGCTATTAAATAATTCCCAGCATAGACATGAAAAATTAAAAAGCCTCCAATCTAGAAACTTTAAAAATCCCTCTATTGTGTTAAAAAAAATCAAAACCAACATTTTACAACATGAATCAGGAATCATGAAATAACTCCCAGGAAATCAATAGATTGTAACTAAAACTAAACTAAAAAAAATTATTCATGTTTACTAAACTAGAAAACATGAAAATTATGGTTTCAAGGAAAACAAAATAAATTGAAGGTGAGTAGGGAGAACTTAAATAAAAGCAGAAATAAGTGAATTAAAAATTAGAAAAATTAGTGGAAACTCTAAAAATTACATTTTAACTAAAAAGTAAAAAAGGGAGGCTGGATGCGCTGGCTCACGCCTGTAATCCCAGCACTTTGGAAGGCCGAGGTCAGGAGTTCAAGTCCAGCCTGGGCAACATGGAGAAACCCTGTTTCACTAAAATTACAAAAAATAGACTGGCATAGGTGGCACATGCCTGTAATCTCAGATACTTGGGAGGCTGAGACATGAGAGTCGCTTGCACCCTGGAGACAGAGCTTTGGAGGTTGAAGTGAGCTGAGATCGCACCACAGCACTCCAGCTTGGGCAACAGAGCGAGACTCTGTCTCAAAAAAAAAAAAAAAAAAAAAAAAAAGGTGGGAGGAGAAAGCATAAGTATCACAAATACCTCAAATTAGAAATGAAAATGAGGAAACAACCACAGATGAGGCCTGGGGAGTTTTTGCTCCAAGTCACAGCCACGCCAATGAGACTGGGAGATGCCGCGAGGCCCCTGTGGGCACTGTGGACTGTCACCCAGATCTGAGGAAGTGCGTTTCCCTGTGAGCACTTCAAAAGGGAGACCTGAGTGAGCAACTACTACATATTCTTGCTGGCATATAGTCTATGATGTAGATACCTAATATATTCAACCAATAATTGAAATTCACATTGTCTCCTCATTTTGTTACCACAAACAAGGCATCATAAAATATCTATATATACTTGTAGTAAGTTGGGTTTGTTGGGAAACGAATTCTGAGTTTCTGAGAGTTGCTGCAGGAGGCTTTTGGGGAGGCGTTCCCAGGAAGAACATCTGTGAGGGGTGAGAGGACCAGGATTGGGCAGAAGGAGCCACTGAATTGCAATACAGTTGTATCAGAGGCCTTGAGGAGTTTGGGTGGCTCTGAAATCAGGTGCTCGCAGTTGGTCCAATTGATGCAAGGAGGCTAAGCCTCTGTACCTCCATAGTGGTTGCTGTCCCCAAAGAGGGGTCAAAGCCTTGGATGGGGCAGCTTACTTTGACTGAGGGCAATTACTGGAGAGCAACTTGGCTGAGTGATTGCAGAGCTTTTTTCCTTATCATCTTAGCTAGGCTAGAACTACATTTCTCAGAATCCCCTTCCCTGTATTGCTCTAGGTTCCTTTTGGACAAAACAGAAAGTGGTGGGAGATAACCAAAGGCAGAGGTAAATGTGCTGCTGTTTTGCCATGTCTAGAAGTTGTTACAGTCCGGGTGGCATGGCTCACACCTGTAATCCCAGCACTTTGGGAAGCCAAGGCGGGTGAATCACTTGAGGTCAGGAGTTCGAGACCAGCCTGGCCAACATGGTGAAACCCCATCTCTACTAAAAATAAAAAAATAATAATAAAAGAAAATAAAAAAATAGCTGGGTGTGGTGGCGCACACCTGTAATCCCAGCTACGCAAAAGGCTGAGACTGAACCCAGGAGACGGAGGTTGCAGTGAGCCAAGATCGTGCCATTGCGCTCCAGCCTGGGTGACAGAGTGAGACTTTGTCTCAAAAATAAATAGATAAATTAAAAAATAAAAGTCGGTACAGGATGCCAGACACAGACAGCTTGTGCACCTTTTTGCTAATCTACTAGCTCACCTGATTGATTAATGGATGGACCTATAATTTCCCCAACTCCCACCACATCTACTCTTTTGGCTTCTCTGACCCTGTGCAAGTGAGTATGCACATCTGTGATGAATGGTACCAGCTGCTCCTGAAAGTCTCCTGTGGCATTGAGGTTGGAGGTGGTGAGAGACTTGGACTCCAGTTTGTCTTCATGCACTGCAGATCACTGTCCCAGTTTCAGTGTGTTCTTCCTTTAGCCACGCCCAGCTTTCCTTTGTGACTGATGGTCTGGCTGACCTACAGTGACTTCAGGCCCAACACCAGATGTAGGGTCAGACATCTCCACTACTTCCCACCACTGTGTCACGTCTTGTCTTTATAATATATTCTTTATTTTATATCAACCATAGCAGGTCTGCTACTCTAATTGAAGATACGCTACAACACTCCTGACACCTGGGGCATTAGTGACTCAGTCCTGAGGGGAGATCTGGGTGGTACACCACAGCATCCAACTATAGTACTAGTGCTTTATTTTAATGAAAGTGATTTCCAGGATTAAAATGACTAGAATGAAGAATACATGTGTTTTAAATGTGATGGATGCTGCCAGATTGCTTTCCTCAAAAACAGTAGCAATCCACCTCCCTACAGTGAACATAGCAAAGCCTATTACCCGCATCCTACACAAGACACAATGCTGCTATTCCTTTTAAATTTTGTCAGTCTGATAGTTATAAATAGACATCTTACAATTTAAATCTACATTTCTCTCTTGTTATTAATTGGAGTCTCTCATGTTTGATGACAATCTGAGTTCGTTCTTTTGTAACTTGTTTGTAGCTTTTGCCTGGTATTTTCTATCGGAATATATATATTTTCCTAGGGAATTTGTAAATTTTCTTTGGACATTAGAGACACTAACCTTTTATGTGTTATCGGAATTGGAAAAAAGTTAGTAAAAATCTATTTTTATCATCTATTTGACCTTGTTAATGTCATATTTTATCATCAATATCGTATTTTTTTTTTAATTGGAATGTTTAGTTCCCTGGGAATTCCGTTGGGAAATAGTATAAAATGGAAGCCCAGATAGGTTTTCTTCTGCTAGATAATAAATTCCACTAGGAGTATTTGTTAAATAATCCAACATTTTCCACAAACTTGACGAAGACATTTTGGTATATTAAATACATGCATTTCTTGATTTTCTATTTAATTTTGCCAATAAAATTTGAATTAGAAATATATTTGTAAATTTTTAATCTGATAAATGCACATAAAATGAATGGCAAAGATCATGATTAGTAAAATAAAAAGAAGTGTTACCATTAAAAACCAGGAACAAACTTACTTGTACTTAAATTGTTTTGAAAGTACAAACCAATGCAGTAAGAAAATAAGTTAAAGTATCAAGTATATACAAATGGAGGCAAATTTATTATTATTTGCACATGATAAGATTGTATACATGGAAAGAGAATCAGCTGAAGAACTGTTTTAATGGTAAGAGAATTTTAGAGATCGGCTGGTTAAAAAATTAATATATAAAATTAAATAGCTTCCTAGACACAAATAGTAAAGTTAGAAAATCAAATGCAGCAAAGATCTAATTTACAACAGCAACAAAAGAGTTACATTGTCTAGGAATAAACTGGAAAAATGTTCATTGTTGGAAGCAAATGATGAAACTCTACTGAGGCATAAATGAAGAAATTGAAAAAAGGAAAAGGCACATTTCTTATGGATACATAGGTATCTTGTTCACCAATTAGAGATCAAAAGTCACAAGCTCTCAGACAATTTGAACCAAACTGTGCCAGTCACTTCAGTAAGAGGGATGAGGTTTCACTATCTGGCTTCATGCTTTTGGTATTGGTAAAGGTGCTTAAAAATAGGATTAGTGAAAAAAGTATGGCTAAGATGGAACAGTGGTCCTCAGAGTTAAGAACACATCATAATCAAGCAGGGCTTGTTAAGACACAGGTTTCTTGGTTCCTCTTTCAGAGTTTTCAATCTTATAGGTCCTGGATGAGGCCTCAGGTTGTATATTTCTAACAAATTCCCAGGTGATGTTGATGCTGCCGGTTCTATGCTTTGGAAGCCCCTGGCGTAGAGAACGATTTATGCAAAAATCCCTTTCCAAGTCATACAGCATAGAGAGCCTGGAAAATGTGTAGAGTCACACTTATTTCAGAGAAAACATTCATATATTAGGTATAAGACTATTTAATCATTTCATTTTAAAGACAGTAAGCCTTGAGTTCTGGAGTGGATAAATGAGGGCTGAGTTATCTGGCTATTCTGACTTTGGATGTGGATCTTTAATTCTCATTGCTGACAAATTTTAGCCACTGAGGTTTCCTCAAGGTCCCAGGTTTAAGAAAAGAAGAGAATTATCTAATCATTTCTGAGAAACAAAAAAAGCCCACAAAACCCTTAAGTATATACTGAGGGGATTTTAGCTCCCACTGGCCTGACAGCCTTAGAGAGCTGAGTCTAAGGATGGACTCAGGAATTAACCACAAGCAGCTAAGGGAATATTCAGTCCATTTGTCCATGTGCTCCAAGCTTCTGTTCCCAGGGTGACCTGAATGACATGGAGGCCAGAATTAATAATAACAAAAGCTACCACCTGCAGTGGGTTAGAAAGGGCAAAATCATTGTTGAATTGTGCCAGCCCCTGTTGCAGTCTGATGCTATTAACAAGGCCAGGGAGGCTTTGAATCAAGAGTGCTTGGAAAGCAAGGCAGAATCCCACCAAGAGAAGTGCTAACTAAAGGAAAACTGCTCCTCTGGCCCAAGCCACACACTGTGGGTGACCAAAAAAAAGGACATTTGAACCCGATACACCAAGTAGCCACAGCTTCCTAGAAGTCACAAAAGTGACATCTTTTTATACATGTTTCATTACATGGTGGCCCCTGACTGTCTTTTGTTATCCCAGGTTGCCATAAGAAAATGCCATAGATGACTGGGCACGGTGGCTCACGCCTGTAATCCCAGCACTTTGGGAGCCCGAGGTGGGCAGATCACCTGAGGTCAGGAGTTCAAGGCCAGCCTGGCCAACATGGCAAAACCCTGTCTCTACTAAAAATACAAAAAGTAGCCGAGAATAGTGGAAGGGCTTGTAATCCCAGCTACTTGGGAGGCTGAGGCAGGAGAATCGCTTGAACGCTGGAGGCAGAGGTTGCAGTGAGCCGAGATTGTGTCACTGCATTCCAGCCTGGGTGACAGAGTGAGACTCCATCTCAAAAAAAATAACATAGACTAGGTGGTTTAAGCAACAATTTATTTTGTACAGTTCTGTGTTCCAAGGTCAAAATGCCTGTTGATTCAGTTGTTGTTGAGGGCTCTCTTTTGGCTTGCAGACATCTGCTTTATGGCTGTTTCTTAAGTGGCTTTTCCTGGGTTCAGGATCATGGAGATCTCTCTCTCTCTTTCTCTCTCTCTGACATCTCTCCTTATAAGGGCACTAATCCCATCATGGGTCTACTTACTTCTTACGGGCCCCATCTCCAAAGACCATCATATTGGGGGTTAGTGTTTCTACACATGAATTTGCAGGGCAGGAAAGGGAGTAAAACCATTCAGTCCAAAATGCTGGCCCTTGGTTGAATTAAGCACCATGCTCCTTTCCCTTTAAAAATGGAGTAAGAGAGAAAAAGCCTGACCTGGGCCTGAAAAATCCTACTTGTGCGAAGAAATGAGAATTGGTTATCTGGCTTTGCACAGTTAAGCAGGTTTCATGATGGATAATTGTAATTGTGGGCAGCTTTCAGCACTGGTTGAAAAGCTTCCTCAAACCCCTTTCTGCAGCTCAGAGCAGATATTCTTCTCCCTTCCTTTTGCAGCTAGAGAACAGGAGCAAATGGAGAGGCAAGGCGTGAAGCCCAGGGAACGAGGCTGAAAAAGGCTCTCTTCCCTGGCTGTCAGTCAGGTGGCTGCTTTGGTCCCAGGAACTGGCAGTTGTGAATTACGGACTCCCTTTCTCCCTGCCAAAGCTGCTCCCCCGTGGACCTCTCTCGTTGTTTTCTGATTATTTCAGATTCCTGTTAAACATCCCTGAGTTCAGAAGCCCTTGTTGTGAGGGGCGTGAAAACAAGCAGTTGACTAAACCACTGCACACAGGTGTCAGTGCAGAAGCAATGCCTTTTACCAAACAGCATGCACCCTAAGGCTTTTCCAAAGTGCATTTCAGAGGCTTGAATGTCTTGGTAGAATAATAATAATATAACACAAAGATAATGTTTCATCTCATACAGCAGCAATTCAATGGAAATCATCTGACTGGATTTAAGGAGCAGCATAGTGAGTTTAGAATTGTAATGATTCCCCACTTTACAAACGCAGGCATTTGAATCCTGTAATTCTTCCTACCAGGGGATTTAGGGGTTATGGGGTTGTGAGGACGTCAGACTCCACTATCATAAGAAAGTGCTGTTAAAGCTATGGTCTGAGACAGGAAAGGTGGCTGCTGCCCAACACACACACACACACACACACACACACACACACACACACACAGAGCAGCCAGAGTAATCTTGCCAAAATGGAAAGTTGAGTATGTCACACAGATGAACAATGAGTTAACAACGGCTTGAAGGTGGTAAAATGCAATCCAGCCTCTGCCACAAGCTATGGGATGTTGGGCAAATCCCGTCCTTCTCTAGATGCTGTTCTAAGATGAAGCTCTTGTAGTATAGGTTGTCAGAACGCTGAACATTTATGACATTCCAGGAACTTTGCTGGAAGCTTTTAAAATATATTATCTTACTTAATCCTTACAGAAAACCTGCATGGCTGGGAGTATTGTGATCCTCCTTTTACAGATAAGGAATACTGGAGTAGGAGAGTCAATTGGTTACTTAAAGTCCCATCAGCACAGTGAAGAAGTAGGGTATCAACAAAGGTCTGTTTGACTAGTTATTCACACATGCATTCCTTCACTTACTAAATTATTATTCCATGCTTACTTTGTCCTGGATACTGCTGTAAACAGAAGACATCAAAAGTAGCTTGGACTCAACCCTTACAGAATTTATTCTCTGTGGAGGAGAGGGAGGGTTATTAATTGAATATGTAAACCTATACCTGTAAAATAACTGTCCTTCTAAGCATCGTTAAGGAAATGAGAATACATAACAGGATATCCCCTAGTTTGGGAGTTATGGAAAAGAAGTAACATTTGAGATAAGACCCGATGACTGACTAGAAGTTAACTGAGTGAAAGAGAAGGGATGGAGATAAGACATTGGGTTATCAGCCTACAGATATGAAGTGAAGTAAGGGAAGTAGGTGAAATCATCCAGAGGTAAGACAGTGGTTTTACCAGCCTTTGGACTTACTGAATTATAAACATAGCACATGGCCTTGGACATATGTAGGTTTTGCCTGAACCCTCTACCTCACATAGCTACTGTGGGTATGAAATGATTATGTATTTAGCGTTTGGACCAATAGGCAAGCCACATCTTTACCAACTTTTATAAAGGATAGAGCATGAAGAGAAGCAAACTTAAGGTCAAATCTTGAGGGACATCAACACTTAATTCCTCAGTAGTGGGGGCTAAGCATGCAAACAGGAAGGGAAAGGAGCAGTGTGAACTCTGGACTGTCACAGAAATCGAGGCAGGAGAGTTTACACAAGAAGGAAGAGGGATCAACTGGGGTTAAGTGCTGCTGAAATAGCAGGAAAGACACTCTCCTTAATGTTGCTCACTGGATTTAGCAATGCAGAAATCCTTGGTGAGACTAGAAATACCTTTTTTAAAAAAAATCTTATAAATTTAAGGGGTACAAGTGCAGTTTGGTTACATGGATATGTTACTTAGCTCTGAAGTGCAGGCTTTTAGTATAACCATCACACAAATAATGGACATTGTACCCATTAAGTAATTTCTCATCTCTCACCCTCTTACCACTCTCCCACTTTTCTGTCTTCAATGTCCAGTACTACACTCTCTCCATGCACATATACACATTATTTGGCTCCCACTTATAAATGAGAACATGCAGAATTTGACTTACTGTTACTGAGTTATTTCACTTAAGATAATGGCCTCAGTTCCACCCATGTTGCTGCAAAAGATATGATTCCATTCTTTTTGTGGCATAGAAATATTACACTGTGTGTGTATGTGTGGGGGGCATATTTGAAATCAAGTATTGGAGTCTTTCAATTATGTTCTTTGTTTTCAATATCGATTTGGGTATTTTGAGTCCCTTGCATTTCCATATAACTTGTATGATCATCTTGCCAATTCTAGAAGAAAATAAGGCTGCTGGGATTTTGATAGGCACTGCATTGAATTTGTAGATCAATTTAGGTGTTATCACTATTTTAACAACATTAAATCTTCTGATCCATGGCAAGGAGTAACTTTTCATTTATTTCTGTCTCCTGGAAATTGTAACAATTGCTTTGTAGTTTTCAGTATACAATTAATTATTACATGTCTTTGGTTAAATTTATCCCTAAGTATTTTATTTTGCATTTTAATTTAGGGGAAATTTAAATGTAAGTAGAATTGCATCTTAGTTTTATTTTCAGATTCTTGATGGCTAAGGTATTAAAAATACTGAATATTGTTAGCTTATCCTATAACCCTGCCGAAGTCACTTATTACTGCTAATAGTCTTTCTTTGGCTTAACAAAATTATGTACAAGATTTTTTATCCGCAAATAGTGATAGTTTTACTTCCTTGTTTTCAATCGGGATGCCTATTACTATTATTATTATTTGGCTTGTCTAATTACCCTGGTGAGAACCTCCAGTACCATGTTTAATAGGAGTGGGTAGAGAAGATGTCTCTGCCTCATTTTCAAGCTTAAGGGAAAAGCATCCAATTTCTCACCATTAAGTATAATGTTTTCCTCTATTTCTAGTTGTTTGACTCTTTTTTTTATATCATGAAAGGGTATTGAATTTTGTGAAATAATTTTTCACCATCTATTGAGATGATGATGTAGTTTTTGCTCTTCATGCTATAAACATAGTATTGATTTTTGGGTATTAATCCAGTCTTGTAATCCTAGGATAAATCCTTCTTGGTCACAGTGCATAATCCTTTTCATCTGTTTCTGAATTCGTTTTGCTGGTATTTTGTTGAGGGTTTTGGGTCCATATTCATAAGGGATATTTACTGTTGTTTTCTTGTGACATCTTTCTCTGGTTTTGGCATCAGTCTAATACTGGCCTCGTAGTATGAGTTGGGATCAAGTCCTATTTTGCTTGGCACATCTTCTCAGCAAATATTCACATGAGCCCTATTTCCCTCTCTTAGAATGGAATCCTATGGTGCTTCAAGTACATATATGTGATTCGTCATCGACCTAGTTCAGGATGATCTCTATTGATGCTTCTCTGGAACTACCACTTTGGTCTGTAGATATTTTCTTCCCTCTTGATGATTTCCTACAATATTCCTTCACCAGCCTAGTCACTTATCACTACCACAACATCATATGGAAATGTATGCTAAATGTCCCTGGGAAGTCTGGCCGTGGAAAATGACTGTTCTGAATTCCTCCAACCCTTTTAACTCAAGCTGACCAGCTGATCCAGACTAAACAGTGAGAACATAGGAAACAGCAAAGATTGAAGAATGACCTTTTTGTTGTCATGACTTATGGAATAGTCAGATGTAATTAGCCTAGCATACTATTGAAAGGTACAATAGTGTATGGAATATACCTGATGCTACAGGAGGAAATGGAAAGAAATAAGCTATACCTCTCCAGCAGAGGAACTAGAGAAAAGATTATCAGTCAGTGCTGAAGAATCTCATTGGCCCCACTTCCAAGGTAGTGGTTATTTAGGATGCAGTGGGTTAAGACAAGTATAGTTTAGCCTTAAGTGGCTACCTGTAATGCTAAGTAAAACCATCTCTAGTCATTGGTACCGAAGTACAGAAAAAACACACAGACCTATAGGCAAGCATAGGGCTCTCATCTGGTAAGCTGAGATTAATGGTTCAGGTTTTGGCCCATCAGACTATACCAAATGAGGGGTTAAGAATCCTGAACACACCCACTTCAAAATGGATTGCTTTTCTGACTTTTTCTTTTTCTTTTTTTCTTCAACTTTTATTTTAAGTTCAGAGGTACATGTGCAGGATGTGCAGGTTTGTTACGTAGGTAAATGTGTGCCATGGTGGTTTACTGCACAGATCATCCCATCACCCAGGTATTGAGCCCAGTATCCATTAGCTATTCTTCCTGATGCTCTCCTTCCCACAACAGATGCTCAGTGTGTGTTAATCCCCCCCATGTGTCCATGTGTTCTAATCATTCAGCTTTCACTTATAAGTTCTCATCATTCACTTGTAAGTGAGAACATGTGGTGTTTGGTATTCTGTTCTTCAGGTTGCTGAGGACAATGGCTTCCAACTCCATCCACGTCCCTGCAAAGGACATGACCTCATTACCTTTTACAGCTGCATAGTATTCCATGGTGTATATGTACCACATTTTCTTTAGCCAGTCTCTCATTAAAGGGAATTTAGGCTGATTCCTTCAACTAGAAAATTCAATGAGAAATTTCCTTACCTGTCTTTGGGTTCTAGAAAGTGACTTTTTATTTGCCACATTTTCAACTATGCCTCTTATTTTTAGAGTTAAGACTTTAAAAATATATGTAGTCACGCATCATTTAAAGATGGGGATACATTTTAAGAAATGTGTCATTAGGCAATTTTGTTGTTGTCCAAACATTATAGAGTACAGTTACAGAAACGCAGATGATGTATACATTTTTATTTATACTGAATATTAATTATTTATCCTCTTTGATCTGAAATGCCAATATCAAGTGCCATATATCAAGTTGTTAGATACGTTTCATTATGATCCAATGGTATCACTATCATATCTGTGCTCCATCATTCACCCACACGTTGTTACATGGTGCATGACTGTACATCATTTGTCCTGTCTTCCCACCTCCCTGTTTCTCATTGTGGTTGCTATTTATTGTTTTTCTCTGGGTAATGGAGTATGAGGAAAGAAATAAACATTTTAAAAAGGTCGTGATGCTCCTTTTGTCTGTGATCTCTTTATTATCTTTGGGAGTAGAACTGGATGTTCCAAGGGAAGTTTTTCCACCATCTTAATTAGGGTGTCTGAAGTTCAAAACCAACAATAATCTTATTACTTGTTATTTTTTAGTAACCACAGGAGAAAAAATTAGAGGATCCTTGGCTCTAAACTCACACTGTTAAGGCCGTCAACATTTTGATCTTTTTATTTTTATTTGTATAATAAAGTTATTAGACCAGGGTTTCTACGAATGTCATATGTACAACAAAAAGGCAAACTGAATTCCCCTAGGGATACATTTGGATCCTCTGAGAAGCTGAGTTACTAACTGCTTCAATAAATGACAACTAGAAATACAGGCTAGTTAGTCTGTTTATTACTGTAGTAAAGGATAGATCACAGCTAAAAATGACATGGCTAGGAAAAATTTTAAATTCCCTATTGATAAGGAAAAAAATAGACATTGAAACAGTTAAAGCTTAATGAAGACCTTGACAAAGAGCCGTTGTTAAAAACATAGGCTAAAAAAATTAAATAGAAATTAATTATAAAAAAGCAGTATGTCTGAATGCCATTTATGGACTTTTCTAATCTATCAAATAATTTCCACTTAAATTTAAGGAGAATGAAAGACGAGAAAGATTTATGGTTATGATGAAGAAACATTATTATGTTTCTAGGTAGCAGTGACAAAAATTTATGCTCTTTCCAATCAGGAATTAAATTTCAAAGTACGGTAGAACAAGAACAATATAGTCAAGGAATATGGAATTTTTGAGATATGTTCCCAAGATGCAATTCTTTAAGGAATATGAGAAATTAAAATCATGTAAACTAGCCAGCATTCGACAGGAAAATTGTAATGGATCTCACTGGGGAGCTAGAGTTGCTAATTTTTTCAGTAATTCATCACTGTTTCTCTAATTACGCTGATGCACGATCTGAAGATAGCTCCAAAATGGTCACTAGAGAATGTGACAACACACACAGCCTGTGCCACGATGCATTCCAGACAGTCTTCACTGAGCTGCAAAAGTAAGAAAAGTAAGGTTGCCAAGGCCAGGCTTGGGTTAGCACTGTGAGAGGCACTGGGGTGCAGTCGGTAAGGGAGCACACTCCCTGCCTGGGTTTGGATTCTGCCGCTCCTTCTTGCTCACTCTGTAGTTTTGGGGAATTCTCTCAACCGCTCTGCCTTTTATTTCCTCTTTATGGACCATGCATAATAGTAAAATCCAGCTCATAAGATTATGTTTAGTATGATGCATGGGACATGCTGAGTTGCTGTCAGAATATTAGCAATCATCATTATGGTTGTTGGGGTAATGCTAATAAATGTGGAGTACTGTCCAGTGGGAGATGACCTTTGGCTCATTCTGAACTGCACTGTTATTCAAGGCTTGATTTTATTTCTTCTTATTAATCTCTAGGGAATAATACTCTATGATGGTGGCATCTTGGATCCAGGCACTATTTCTCAATGCGAATTCAGGCCCCAAACGGCAGCCAGTTGGATGGAGTCCAAACCCCAAAAAGAAGGGACTGGGATTGGTAAGGACCTGAAAAATTGTCAAGGCAGCAAACAGATGATTTGAAGTTACAAGAAGAGCCGCCATATCATCAGGGAAAGCAGACAGCAAATCAGGAAATTAAATTCTACAGACCAGGTTAATATGGGAGCGGTAAGAGCAATGCCTTACTGCTACAGCTTATTAGATATTAGGTAGCCTTCCGTGAACCCTCAAGTGGTCTAGATATTAGGATGTGCCTCCCAAGGCCTTCAGTTGATTGTCTTGTATTTCTGTAGCATTCCACTCCCCCCCGTAGTCATTATGTTTTCTGTCTCATCACCCAAACATGCAACAGCTGACAGACCACGAGTGGACACCTGACCTAAAGGCACACATGTGTAGTCTGGCCAGTGGTCCAGGCAGTCTCTGAGAAGTTTCCCAGAAACAATTATATTGTCAGTTCCAGGATGCGACAGCTAACCTGTTTAGCAGAAAGGCATGGGAAAGAACTCACTAAACAAGAAAAAAAAAATGATAGCAACCAGGGATCTGTGATGTACACACAAATGGTTATGTAATAATTAGATGACAATACAATATAATAACTTGTGTTTATCCCAGTGACTAAGTGATCAGTGAACATTAATATCACATCATGTTGAGTATATTGGTATTTTAATAGTATAAAAAAGTATAATCGATGTTAACAAGATTTACATCTAAATTAGGATTTTTAAAATAAATTTTTGAAAATTATGAAAAATGTATGCTGAACTCACCATAAAACTTAACTATCCAGATTATTATTTCTTTGGTGTTTCTGGATGGCTAAGATTTAGCTATTATTGAAAGTAGTGACTGATGAAATAAATGGATGGTTGTAAGTGTTTTCTCTTTCTGACGATATTTCAGACAAGTGAACTTTGGAAGGCAAATACAGACCTACAAAAATTGATCACAAATTTATAAATGATTAGAACTGGAAAGGAAGAGGAAGTGAGAATTGTTAAGAATCTCCTCCTGCAGGTAATGTGCTAAGGGATTTACCTATTTATACTTAAGTTTCAGCATTCACAGGAGATAGGCGTAAGTATCTCTATTTTATAGATGAGAATACTGAGTTATTTGTTTGTACATTCTATGTTGCTGCTAAACAAATCATCCAAAACTTAGTGACTTAAAAAGAAATACTTTACTATGGCCTCTCATGGCTTTGTGGGTTGACTGGGCTCAACTAGATGGTGTTTGCTTGGGCTTTCTTTTGCATAGCTGGGGCTGTAGTCATCTGAAAGCTCTACTGAGCAGAACATCCAAAATGGCATCATTATTCTCACGTGTAGCACCTGAACTAAGATGGTTTAATTAGCAGGAGCCTAGCTGGGTATCTCTCTTTCTCTCTCTCTTCCTCCTTCCATGTGGCCTGTCCACATGAAACCTGAGATTCCTTACAGCATGGCGGTGGGAGGCTTGTCAGACTCTTTATATGGTGGCTGTTATCCTCCAGACTGAGCTATAAGGTTTCTTATGTCCTGCCCTCAGAAGTCTCAGTATGTGGGCCAGGCGTGGTGGCTCATGCCTGTAATCTCAGAATTTTGGGAGGCTGAGGCAGGCAGATAACTTGAGGTCAGAAGTTTGAAACCAGCCTTACCAACCTAGTGAAACCCTGTCTCTACTAAAAATACAAAAAATTAGCTGGGCATGGTGGCTCAGGCCCGTAATCCCAACTACTCTGGAGGCTGAGGCAGGAGAATCACTTGAACCTGGGAGACAGAAGTTGCAGTGAACTGAGATGGCACCACTGCACTCGAGCCTGGGTGACAGAGTGAGACAATGTCTCAAAAAAAAAAAAAAAGTCTCAGTATGCCACTCACTCCTCTTGGTAAAGCAATTCACTCAGGCCAGCCCAGCACAGGAAGATAAATTAGACCCCATCTGACCCTGGGAGGAGTGTCACAGAATCTATGGCAATCTTTTAAAAAGTTACACCATAGTAACCCAATTAGTATAAGAACTAAATCTCAGTATATCATTTAACAACATCCATATCACATTTAGGAAAATTAACCCTGGAGCACATCTTATGTTGCTGATGCAGTAGCTGAGTCCCAAATAGACAAAGTCATGTAATTCAATTCACAATATTGTCTGGGAATTTTTCTATATATAAGACTGTCCAGAATTGGTTTGTTCAAAAATAAGAAACAACCTCTAAGAAGGAGGTGCAAATTCAACTAATTTCAAGCAACTCAGCATAATGCACTATCAAAAATCCTACAGGGAGCTCTCCAGAGCAGGTTGTATATGCAGGGATTTGTAAGGCCCTAAAACCTAATGGCCATGCCAGGACAAAAAGCCGCATGCATTCTGCTCTTTCTGCATAATCACCAGGTGGTTGAGACTTAGAACAGATGGGCAAGTCCCAGAGAGTGGCTCATGTCATACATCTGGGATGTTAACGTGTTGGGGTGGAAAGTCCTTGTGCTTGCAGTAGCAGAAAATCCTGTGCTTCTCTCTGCATTTAGAGCCATGAGGAAAATCACCACTGACCTGTGAATATTCAAGAGGAAATCCAATAGTGATGACAGTCCTATGAACCCAAAGGAAAGACAGAGGACGGAGACAATTCCAGAATTTTAGTGTTTTTCGTATGTAATAGGCCATACATACATGAGCATGTTTGAAAATCACCAAGAGAGGTGAGTACAAGAGATATCCTTGAAAATGGGGAGAAAATTGTTATCAGGTTTTTTTAACCAATGGTGATAATGAGAAATTAGACCAGACATTGTTATAAAAATCCATCCCTACAAAACCATTTTATATAAAAAATAATGAGAACAGAACAGAACTAATTTAGTTAGCTAATTATCACATGCATTTCACATCAGCCCAAAAGCAACCAGAAACCATTAGCAGTACACCCCGCCGTTCTCATCAAGCAGGGGATTAATGGGAACAAACCTGGAATTGGCTTTTGCAGAAATGAATCTACCATCTTCAAAAGGTAATAATCGCCACGGGCCTCCCCTTGTGATCTCCACTGTGCAATGAGGTTTCTCCTGGAGCCTCGAGGAGCAGGAGAAATCTTTTTCTTCCCCTCTTCCTGGTTGCCCCACTCCCACCCCAGAGTGCTGGAGGTATAAAGTGAATGAATCTCTTTACACAGATAGTCCTAGAGATTAATTCATCTCATTAGTGACAGAATAAAATCTCAATGTCTTTGGCCCCTCTTCTGAAACAGGCCTAGCAATCTACACACAGCCTTGATCATCTGTTCTTGTCAGAATATGAGGTTGGGAGGGTTTTTTCCCCCTGTGCATATATCTATACGTGGTTCATATAATTTGTGCCATTGCTCACCTGTCAAACATTAAGCTTCATTCATTTAGTCATCCATTCATTCAAGCAATCACTAATATCTGGTTTAAGCCACACACTATATTAGGTAATGAGAAAGGACACACATAATCCCTGTATTTAATGAACTCATAATATGTTGCATAAGAAAAAAAAAGCTAGAGAGCAGCGTGATGCGTTGACATGGCAACTGTATCAAACCCCCCCTGTTTAGGACATGGATGAAGTAAGGGATCAGGAGAGCATGGCCTGAGGATTGACAACCACAAAGACAGAAACAAACAGCTAATCTGGGTAGCTCTTTTAGACAGAGGACAAACAACACAGAAAAAACATAATTTTAAAATTATGGGTATTTGGCAGGCTTGGAGTATAGGGTTCATATGAGTAAGTTGCAGATGAAATCAACCTACTACTTTGTACTCAAAATTTGGTCCATGAACCTGCACCATCAATAGCCCCTGGGATTTCTTTGGGAATGCATAGTCTCAGGCTTCCCTGCAGACCTGCTGAATCTGAATCGCATTTTGACCATATCCTAGGTGATTTGCATGTATGTTAGAGTTTGAGAAGCACTGGACTAGGGCACCCAAAATCTGACATATTAGTTGGAAAATGATGAAAAAATTTTAAAAAGCTTCCAGTCCCTGGCACACAAAAACCTGCCAGGAGGCAACTGCAGCTGAAGATCCTGAGAATTCTGAGAATTCTTATTTATCTGTCCTGTGCAATAGAGATGATACCTATCAGCTCATAGTTCTCAGTTAGCAACACTGGTTTTTGATGAGTTTGACCACATGTTTCCCTCATTAGTTAAGGTGTCTAGTAAGATACTATTTTGACAGTAAGTTTTTAATCTTCGTAATTTTTTTAACCCATCGTTCTTCTCCATTCAAAAGAGACAATGAAGGATCTACTGCCTCAGGTTAGATTATTTACCACAGAGCCCAGAAAACAAGTCAGTTCTAGTCTTTTGAGTATCAAGATGGAATATGCTTTGGGAGTTAAGGAACATAAACATTAATCTTCAAAATTCTGAGCCACAAAGAATTGGAGGCACAAACCTTAGGCTATTGGTGGTAGGTTGGAATGAAGAGATAAAAAGTCAAGCAACCTTGTTTCTAGATTAGGTAAAAAGTCATGGGTGGTATGGAGAAGAGAGTCAGGACACCAAAGGGAGGACTTGGATGATTGTGAGTCCTGGATAAGATACCCTATATCCTGGATTCTAGACTGAGGCTTAGTACTCCATAGATTTGTGAGAGAAGCCCTGGTCCTTATCTCCTGGGTTGCTTCAGGTTTCCAGGAGCTCTTAATAGGAAAGGAGAGTTCTTGGTGTCCCCAGGTACACAAGGGCAGTAGGATGCTCTGAAATTCCAAAAAGAGAAAAATGATAAAATGGATGAGGTATTAGTCAGAGTTCTCTAGAGAAATAGAACCAATAGAATAGCTACCTATCTATCTATCTATCCATCCGTCTTCTCTCCCTCATCTATCTATCCATCCATCTTCTCTCTCTCATCTATCTATCCATCCATCCATCCATCTTCTCTCTCTCATCTATCTATCTATCTATCTATCTATCTATCTATCTATCTATCTATCTATCTTTCTCTCCCTCTTATATATATATAAGAGAGAATTCTCAGTCCAAGTTTACAGACCCAAGAATTAGGAGCTTTGATGTCTGAGGGTAGGAAAATTTAGATGTCCCAATTCAAGCAAAGAGCAAATTTGTCCTTCCTTGGTCTTTTGTTCTATTCTGACCCTCAGAATGGATGATGCTGGTCCACATGGTGGAGGGTATTGTCTTTATTCAGTCTATTGATTCCAATGCTAATCTCTCCAGAGATCCTCACAGACACAACCAGAAGTAACATTTTACCAGCTATCTGGGCATTCCTTGGTCCAGTCAAACTGACATGTACAATTGAGCACCACAGATGAGGACAGCAGTGAACATGAAGGGGCCTTGATGCCTGCTTTCAGAATGAGGAGACACGATGTGCACAGATGGATAATTGAACATCTATTTCACCTTCATATCCAGCAAAGCTTGGTGTCTCATTACTGCTCCCCCGTAATACCTAAGACATAGGCCAGCTGACCAAGTCTCCATAAATCTATTGAGGTTAAATGTTTGTGCTTTTCAAAACGGGGGCTTATAGCATATCTTTATTTATACTTTAGGAAAAACAGAGATATTCTATCACTCTACATTTGTGATGTGAACATCAATACCTGCTGCAGACATGTGTGGCTCAAGAAGAGGATCGGTCCCAGCCCGGATGTACAGATCTCATGTGAGCAGCCCACTGGCTGAGCAGACCCACCCATCATGAACCTGCACAAGGGTGGCTCATTCCCTTGGTGTATCTGGCAATTCTGGGCAAGCTAATTATGACTCTATCCATTTTTATTCCACTTAAGAAAGAACATAGAAAAACAAAGAAGTTGTAGTGATGCTTTTGTAAAGAAAACATTGAATTGTTATTTCTTTATAAAATTCCATCAGTCATATAAGACAGTACTTTAATGTAGGCAACAAATGCTAGAGGACACACCCCAAATTAGTCAACACCCACATGTATTATAACACTGAAATGGGAATCCACTAGGTAAGAGGGGGCCTTGGTTTGATATTCAGACAGCCATAAAGTTGAGGTCAGGTGATATCTCACTCAGAATCTTTAGGGAGCTAATTTTCTCTCATGACAAATATCCCCTCTAAGAAAATAGAGGGAAATGAACATGTCCTGGTGTGTCATTAAATAAAGGACTGTAGTGATGGTGTACCAAAAGCAATGAATGTGGGATCCAGGCCGATCTGGATTTTATTGTTAATTTGATTTCTTTTACTTCCTGCGTGATCTTAAAACAGGGACCTATTTTTTTTCTGAACTTGAATTTTTGGATCTGTAAAGAATTGCTGTATGATATAACTATTGAATTGACTGCAGCCAAATAGATTTTCAATAACCGTAAGATCTTTCCACTATTATTATTATATAATTAGAATTGACATTTTTATGTTTCTCCAAACCAGTACACAGAGGGATAACCAACATCCTTTTCCCTCCTTCTCCCTGTCTCTTAATCTCCTTACTAGGAGACTTCAGTTGGCTGGAGAAAAGAATGCTTAGTCACCCCAAACTGTGGGTAGAAGACATTCATTCATTCATTCAATAGCTATTTCTTGAGTGCCTTCTTAGTTCTTGGAATTCGTTATTCTTAAAAAAATAATTGACTTGTGTGTGTTTTAGTGGAGGGTGAAAGACAATAAACAAAGACCTAAAAAGTAAATAAATTATAGAATATATTAGAAAGTGATAATTACTATAGAAAAACAGAAAAGGCATAGGTGGTAATAGGTGTAGGACTGGGGGATGTAGTGGCTTGCAGTTTTAAATAGGATGATCAGGGTAGGCTTCAGTGAGAGAATCTGAAGGAAGCTGCTATATGAATACTTGAAGATCTGAAGATCATGACAAACAGGGAGCGGCCACTGCAAAGGTCCTTGGACAGAACATGGTGCATGGCATGTCTGAGGAATGCGAAGGAGGCCACTGTTGAAGGGGAAGAGGTCAGAAAGAGGGGGAGGCACAGAGAAATAGACCGAAAGCCCAACTGTTTTTCAGCATGAGGAATCATCTTGGCCGGGGTTTTCCTCTTCCTTGGTGGGGAAGTAGAGTCCTCTGATGAGAACCATTTTTCCTACTCCACTTGTTCCAGAAGCCTGCAGATAAAAGGCCTCAGCTGGAATAGGATGGAGCCTTCTTATTCTTGTCCTTCAATTGGATCCAACAGAACTACATCTCAGGATGGGGAAGAAGGACTCATGTAGCCTCTGACCCTTACTCAGAATCCCCCTCTGTCAAGGCTAGTGTCTCTGTGGACTCAGGCTTGAGACACAATTAGCTAGGATTACTTCAAGGGAAGAAGGGGAAGTCCAGGGATGAGAAGGAGGAAAAAAAAAAGTGATAACTTGCATGGTATCTCAAAAAGACCAGGAGGCTCCAAAGATGGAGGTGAACTTGCCTGCTATAGTCCCAGGCAGCTCACCTAACCCACCCAAGTCTCCCTCTATTCTATAAAATGAAGGTCAAGTAATTTCCAAGATTAGGTCAAGTTTAATCTCCAAGATTCTTCCCAACACACAGAGTCTCTCTGCCCATGCACACCTTGTATTGCACATGTGACTGGTTACCTGGTTCTCCAGGGACCCTTTTCATGTTCTGAGCTAAAGCACGACAACTGTTGTGGGGTGAATTGTGTTCTCTGCAAAATCCATATGTTGAAGCCTTAGGCCCCAGTACCTCAGGATGTGACTGTATTTGGAGAGAGTCTTTAAAGAAGCACGTAACTTACAATGAGATCATTAGGGTGGTCCCTGATCCAATCTGCCTTGCATCCTTAACAGAGAAGGAGATTTGGACACAGACAATAAAGAGAAAAGACCACATGACGACATAGGGAGGGGAAGACAATTATCTACAAGCCAGGGAGAGAGGCCTCAGAGGAAGCCAACCCTGTTGAAATCTTGATCTTGGATGTCTAGCTACCAGAATTGTGTGAAAACAAAATTCTGTTTCTTAAGCAAAGTGTAGTTCTAGCAAACAAATATACCAACACCATAATAGGGTCAAAAGTGCACCCATAGAATCAGGCATGGCCTTGGAGCACATAGGGATATGGAGAAGAGAATAAGCATAGGAAAAGAGAACCAATCCCTTCTTTAGGCCATCCCAGCTAATGCTCAGCTCAGCTCATCTCAGACTCTACTCAGTATATGTGAAAATGTACTTCCGCTGCTTTTCCCATGCCTCAGGACGTAACAAACCCGCAGAGGCATCCATACCTCTGATGCCTTCCAGGTGCAGCCGTCCTGTGGATCAACACTCCCTTCCAGACCTGAATTTGGACATCGTTCTGGGTTTAGCTCATATTCCTGTGTCCAGCTTGGCATGCGCTTGTTGGGTTACCCTTTTTCTTTCCTATCACTGAACCTGATCTCCTTCTGTTTGGGGCTTGGTGATTAACCAGGGGAGCCCTATAATACAAATGAGATTCTTCTTTAATTGTCAGAGATATTCAAGGTGGCTTTATGTCAGAACCTCTGTGGATGCTGTCTTTTTCTGCTAAGTAATAAAACGGATGAGCAATATTTTCAAGTAGTCATTAAACATGCAGCAGTATTGTAATAATAATAGTATTAAATTTAAAAAATCATATCTCAGACTTGGAGTCAGTTATTCATTTTTCATGTCTTCTATACATAAATACTTTAAACTTGTAATCATAGAATAGATACAATTTTACGCTCTGACTTTCTCTCATTACTGTGTGGCTACTTTTATTTGTTGCTGTATAACGTATACTATTGCTTTTAGAAGCTTCATAATATTACATCTAAATGAATGTACCTGGTCTTAAATGCCTTGTTGAACATTCAACATTCATCTCAAAATTCTTCACTACTGAAGTGAACATCTTGATCAAAATAGTGTTTTCCATCTTTGGGGACGATTTCATTAGAAAATTTTCCAGAAGGAAAATGATTAAGTCAGAATATCTGAGCATTTTTATAATTTTAAAAACACATCAAATCTCCAAAAGACTTGTCAATTCACTTTGCCTATGGCAGTGTAAATGTACTGGTTTAATTTCAACCTCATCACAAATTGGTGTTTTTTTTCATTTTTCTCTTTTAGCAAAAGCAAAATGTGACCTTATTTTTGTTCTGATCATAATTCCTCCACCAAAATGTTCTATTTTAGATTTACTCAAATGTGTGAATTTATATTGAAGTTAAGATATAAATAAAGTTATGGTGGTGAGAAATAAATATTCAATACCCACTACCTGCCAGACAGTTTACTAGAGATTTTATACTCACTACTATTTAATCCTCACAATAACCTGTGCTTATTTCACAGATGAGTCACCAGAGACTTTTCTTGGTCATGGAACTGATCCAGAGTCACAGGTCTAGTAGGTAAAACAGGTGAATTAAAACTCAAAGCTGCCTCCAGTTCTGAACTGACTGGTATTGTTAGGAAGTGGATTTACAGACATAAAGCATTGACGCATAAGCTCATACTAGGTCAGAGGCTGAGACTCATCTGTGGGGAGGTGAAACGGCATTTGGGCTCAGAACTCAGAGATTCAGATACAGTGAGTCTGGAGTGTGGCCTGGAGGTCTGTATTTTATGTAACTGCCTAGGAGATTCTCACTGTCAGGTGTGATTTGCACTTTGCATTTGACACTAATTTTCCACTCTTAGCTATCGGAATCACGTGGAGAGCTTGATAAAACCTACAGATCCTGAAACCATGCTTCAGATCTGTTGAATAGAATCTTCCAAAGTGGGGCAGAAGAATATGTCTCTTAGCAGGCTCTCCAGTGTGTTCTTTTTATTTTTTAGTTTTTTATTTTACGTTCTGGGATACATGTGCAGAACGTGTAGTTTTGTTACGTGGGTATACATGTGCCATGGTGGTTTGCTGAACCTATCAACCCGTCATCTAGGTTTTGAGAGTGTTCTTACAAAGCAGCTGCACAGGGCTCCTCGTGGCATTTGGGAAGTCCTACCCTAGGATTTCTCTGCTGCTGCCCGTTGGATCTGTGGGATGGGATCCTGTATTAAGTGACGGTCTTTTATAGGACTCTTTGGTCACATAAATAGAAGTCTCTGGAATATAAAGTGCCAGAAGGATCTGGTGTGCCCACTAACTGAGACTGCTTGCGATTTTATAATCTCCCTGCAGATCACTATATGAACTTTGAAGACCTTTAAAAACCTGTAATTTATCATATTTCTTAACTATATTCATGTCTTAGTTCTTACACTGCGTATGTTAAAAGTGTATTTCTTTCTTGCTGCCAAAAAAACGCAATGTCTACTCTCATGAAAAGGCATGATTCTAAAATCCTCCTCCTTTTTAGCCCCCCCCCCATTAATTGTTATATTCACACTTTGGATAAAGAGCCTAAGATAAGGGTTTAATTTGGATTAATAGGATAATTACTATGTGACAAACGAATGCCAAATAATGTGAAGAACTGCTTTGTAAGGGAATTCTTGGTTTGACAAAGGTTTGCTTTCAGGTGTGTGGCCTGAATTCTAAACCTCAGAAATATTTCCCAGGCTTCTGATGAAATTTATATTTAAACATACAATGCAACCTTGCCATTTTCCTGCATAGTTTTATGAGTCAATTTTAAACGCGGCAGTGGAATCTTTCTATTATTCTTCAGGCTTTGCTGAGACAGCTGAATTGTCACCTTGACCTTCTTGATACCCACAAGGGCAGTTTCCTGAAAATGAAGAGGCAGTCTCTAGATCTATGGGGGGGAGGAGTGCATTCTTTTCTCAAGATCATGCCTGTGTTCACCAGAGCATCCATTGTTTATGTGTTTCTCATTCCTGTTAAACTGTGAGCTCCATCATCTGCAAGGGATGCACAGTAAGACTTTGGTAATAATGTCAAAATATCTTCAACACCTAACCACTTCTGAGCCATCACAATGCCATGAGTACTGTGCTAATTACTATTACGCACAATTCAGAGAAAAGAGAAATGCAACTAAGAACATTTGCCAAAGCTCCAATGAACATTAAGTGACAGAAGTGGGATTCAAACTCAAAACTGCCTGACTCCAAACCCTAGTTTATAAGGCCCTCTTTAGTATCACCACTACCTAACCTGTAGTAGGTACTTAGTACATAGTAGGTATTGACAGTGTACTGGGAATAAAGGGCTAACATTGATTGAGGGTCTACTCTTTGTTGTATACGGTGCTCAGCTCTGCAGACGTTATCAACTCCTAGAACCTAACCACCACATTTCCGTGTGGTCCCGGCTATAAAGACAGTGGCCACTTCTGTGGATGCGCCTACAGTGGGCTGGCTCTGGCCCCTGTGCAACTGGCTGGTGTTTCAGTCCAGTTCAAGGCTTTGGCTACCTTAATTACTCATTTATTTTTCTTTCTTCTCTCCTGACTTCCCCATTCTTTCTGCCCCTTGTGCATTTTATGCTGGGCCCATTTTTCATCTACCTGCACATTTTACTCTACCGCTGTCAATCACGTGAATCCCCTCCGTGTACATACAACATATACTGGGCATGTCTTGCACTAAACACTGTCCCTGTTCACAGCCCCTCACTGCCCCATGGCTTCTGTGCACACCTCTAGGTTCATTCCCAGTCACTGTGACAAGCAGTGCTCAGGATCACACCATGGGCTACCTGGAGTCACAAACTCTTCTCATCTCTTACCATTTTATGACTTTGGGCAAGTTACTTAACCCATTTGTCCCTCAGCTTTCTCATCTCTGCAAATGTGATAATAATAACAGTACCTGCCTTCTCAGGTCAGGGGAGAATTAAATAACAGTTCTTGGATCATAATAAGAGCTCCCAGAGTGTCAGTCTTCCCATCGGCTTACTCTGACAGTTTCTCTCAATGCATCTCAATTCTGGTTGCTCAACAGGCTGTGTCCTTTGAAGACTGGCATTCCTCTCTGTTCCCCTTTATACTCACTCCTTGGCATTGTTCTTCCTTCACTTTTAATTTTTTTCTGACTTTCCTTCCTGTTTCTTGTTAGTCTATTATCCCTGAAACCACACGTGGAGGTGTTTGTGCTTATATTGTATATGCAGTCATCAGACCAGTGGAAAGGTGAAAGGTTCAGTCAATTTTATGGCTTGTTTTTAACAAAATGAATTGATTTGTAAACTGAATTAATAGAATCAATTACATATAGGAACTGTTTCATTAAAAATTATAGTTTCATCCAAGTAATTTTGTTTGTAGTTGTGTGTGTGCATGCGTGTGTGTGTATGTGTGTGTGAGTGTGTGTGTTATAAGGGTGATGTCTACCCATACTGCAAATGGAGGCCAGGTCTACTGAGTCCTCAGTGAATAAGTGAGAAAGACCCCAAATTTCTCCAGGCCTCAGCTCCCATATCTGAACGACAGGGATAGGTGGGCCTAATTCATAATGGTGTTTGGTGAAATACTTTGTTGATATTAAAACTCTAATGGAACTGAAGCAAAGTGCTAAAAAGAAAGCTTTATAATCTGTTTTTCCTCTCTTTCTCTCTTTGGTTCTAATCATGAATATGTACAAACTATCATCCTATCCCTAGATTTCATGTCTCTTGGCACACACGGTAACGTGTGTGTGTGTTTGTGTGTATGTGTATTTCTCCTTCTACATTACTTATTTACAGGATTGTATGCCTCTTCCCTCAAAAAAATCTTTGTAATTTGAAGTTTAATGGGTACCATTAGGCATTTGGGAGTACATCCAAACACGTAAAAAGTATGGCACAAGAATATTGGCACCAAATATTCTTCAATAGTTGGAGACTCAGGCTCAGGTTGGTGATGCTATAGATGGTGGAATGTCAAAGAAGAAGATGAGACACAGAAAATAAAACAGAAGAAGCTCTTTCCTGGTCTCCCTCTTTAATTATGGAATAATTGGGTAATTTAAACAATAGGAAACAGTCAAATTGGGAAAAGACTGGTGAAGATATTGCAATATTGGATAGAGGTCCTTATATAAGTCTTCATGACTTTTTTTTTTCTAAAAGATAAAAGCCTATGGATTGATATCCTGAGGCTAAAAATTCTCCTAATCCTTTCCATATAAACCAGTCCATGCCTCCTATATATTACCTGAGGAGCTGTTACTATATGAATGGGAAGATTCTAAGGCTGGTAATAAAATAAAATACTGTGTAAGTTAAATGTTCATTTAAGCCTCTCAGCATCTATTCAACCCACTTGCAGGTTGTGATTTAAGTGGAGCCCTGACACATGACTCCAGGATTGGAGCGTATGACCCAGACTTAAGCCAATCAATTGCAGCACATTCTCCCTGCCGAGATAAAATTCTGATTCAATCAAAGCATGTGAGATACAATCAAATTTTTGCTGAGACCTTAAAATCTCTCTATTTCCATCTGACTTGAATCTGGAAGAATTTGATGTCAAGAACTGCCACCATTATCTTTCAAATTTAGAACATGTTCACTCAAAGGAAGTAGATGTATGCTGGGGCAAGAGAGAAACTGGGTCTAATGCAGTAGGGTATATCCTGTCACAAACATCTGTACTGAATCAGCAATTCCTAGTACATGAGATGGAAAAATAAGGAGAACATAAAGAGACAAAGAATAGAAGACAGAGGAAAATAACATTAAAAGAGAAAAAAGCAAGGAGGACTCTAATAATTCTTTAGTGCTTAATATGTACCAAACACCTATGCCAGGCACTGTGTATGACTAACGTCACTTATTCTCACAGTAACTAGGTACTATTAGTGTCATGTGTAGAGAAGAATTTACAAAAATTGAGTTGTCCAAACTGATGAGTGCATTGTTTGCCTTGTGGAACATGACCAGGCTTCTTCACCTCTATCTCATTCAGAGCTTTCCATAGTTCTGTGTACAGGTAACCTCAGAAATGTCAGAGAGTGCTATGGTTTCAATGTGTCCCCTCCAAAATCCTCATTGAAATTTAATACTCATTGTGATGATATTAAGAGTTGGGGCCTTTGGGGAAGTGATGAATTCCTGAGGGCTCTGTCATTCATGAGGGATTACTGTCTTATAAAGGAACTGGAAGGAACTATTGTGGGACCCTTTTTGCCCATCCATCCCTTCTACCAGGTGAGGACACAGCATTAGTCCCCTCCAGAGGATGTAGCAACAAGGTGCCATCTTGAAAGCAGAAACCAGGCTCTCACCAGACACTGAACTTACTGGTATCCTGATCTTGGACAAGCCAGCCTCTAGTACTGTGCCTCTAGTTTTACGAACATCTAATACTGTGAAAAATTCATTTCTTTTTTTTTATTTTTTGAGACAGGAGCTCACTCCTTTGCCCAGGTTGAAGTGCAGAGGCACAATCCCGGCTCACTGCAGCCTCAACCTACTAGACTCAAGCAATCCTCCCACCTCAGCCTCCCAAGTAGCTGAGGCTATGGGTACGCACCACCACACTTGGCTAGTTTTTAAATTTTTGCAGAGACAAAGTCTCACTATGTTGTCTAGGGACGTCTCAAACTTTTGGACTCAAGTGATCCTCCTGCTTGAGCCTCCTAAAGTGCTGGGATTACAGGTGTGAGGCACTGCACCTGGCCTATTCTTAAAAATTACCAAGACTAGGATATTTTGTGTCATAATAGTGCAAATGCACTAAGATAGCCTTCCTGAATCATACAGTAAGGAAGAGCTGAAATGTGGATTAAATCTGAAATTTATACAAATACATCTGAAATTTATACAAATACATCTAAATGCACTATTTACTACATACATATCACTCTGAAATGAGGTGGTTTCTTTTGTCAGCATTAGCTAATATTTTCATTATTAAGGGAAGACTATATCATTATGATTGCTTGAGGTCCTAAGTTAAGATTATGATGAGACTCAAACTCAGATTACTCCTAGTAATAATGTGGACAAATTTCTGGATATGGAAAGATTTTGTTGTCAGTTCCTGCGTGAGTTGATTTATTTTATATGACATATAATATTGATCTAATCCCAAAGCTTTATACCAAACCTATTCATATTCATGCATCCATTTAAAGAAGACATCCACTATTCTGAAAGCCCTTGTTCTTTGGTGGCACAAAGATTTAAAGAATCTTGCCAATGTATTATTGAAGTCATTTACCCATGTTAAATGTATTTTTGTAACATAGAGGTTAACAAGTTTAGAAAAAAGACTACTGGGTTATCAATAAGAACAAAACCATGGTGACACTCACATAGATACAGTGTATGGAGTCATCTCTTATACACTAAAAAATAGATTCAACCCCAGTTGCAGTTGGTCCTGACTCCCACCTGGTCTCCTTGCCAAACAAGAGGAAGTGGACCAGAGTTTTTTGTGTTTTGCTTTACAATCTCTCAGCCATCTGACATTCATTCCATCATTGACTCAGTCTTTCAACCACCCATTCATACACTCACCAAATAGACACTAAATGCCTGTTGTATCAGCAATACTGTTTTGCAGAAAGTTTCACCCTGAATCAAGAAGGAAGAGTTGATACAAATTACAAATGATATACTGTGATGATGAAAACATTTATTGACATCAATAAACTATGTATCCTCATTCAGATTCTCATTCATTCAGATTTTACAAATACTGAGATGTGCAGACACTCTCTCAGATGTTTCCAGTCATGTTAGCATGCAGCGAGACCAGCTCGAAATTTGTAATATGGAAGGGAAATCTGCAGCTGTCTGGAATATTTAGTAATGTTAAATCTCTCCTTGTCCTTATTTGCATCCCTAAAATTTGGAAAAGAGAAGAGTATAAAGGTAGAAAAAAAAACTATTATTTCAACATTCTGAAATAACCACTTTTAATATTTTAGTCTTTAGTTTTTTAATCTTTTTTATGCAAAAATTTAAATTTATATGTAAATGTATAGATATACAGAGATAGAAATCTATATATATTTTCTACCAAAAAAGCATACTATACATAGTATTTGATAGCTATATATTCATTTATCAAGTATCTAATGGGACTTTCCAGGTCAGTGAATATTCTTCTATAACATTGTTTTTAGTAACTACATATCCATGGCATGCACATGCCATATTTCACTTAGTCAATCCTATTATGGAATATTTAAGTTGTTTTTTGAATTTTTGATATTGTAAATTATACTATGGTATCAGTCAGCTATTGTTAAAATAATGTTCAGTAACAAACCACTACAAAACTCAGTGTCTTAAAATAATAATCTTTATATTTGTGGATCTACTGCTCAGCCATGGCAGCTGTGGTTCCCTGTATATATTGGCAATTCAGGATCTTCTCCATGTGGCTCTCTTCTTCCATGAAACATTAGGCTATCTGGGGTATGCTATTTTATGGCAACAGCAGGAACAAACTTGACTTTGCAAGCACATTCTGAATCCTTGGTGACATTACAGCTGCCCATAAAAAATTGTCCAAAGCAAATCATAACCAAGCTCAAAGTGTACTCCAACTTTTGTAAAGAAAAACCCCAACAGGACATAGTAAAAAGCTTGGATACCGAGAAGGGTGAAGAATTTGGGACAAGAGTGTATCTATCACAATTACAGTAAACATTTTTGTATATATCACTTAACACATATCTCTTTTTAAATGTTGTTTCTTTAGGATTACTTCCTAAAAGCTGGGTTGGACAATATGCTTTCACTAGTGTATATACATGTAACTAATCTTCCCAAATCACATGCTCTCAGGTATAGAAATCTGCTATATACTTAAGCTCCACTCCATGGATTTAAGCCAGCCTTCTCAAGCTTGCTGATACTCCCTTTATTTCCAAGATTCTTTTGTTTCTTAAATTTCAGCTTTTATTTTAGGTTCAGGTGGTACATGTGCAGGTTTTTACATGGGTATGTTGTGTGACTGAGGTTTGGGATATGAATGATCTTGTCACCCAGGTAGTCAGCTTAGTACCCAGCAGGTAGTTTCACAGCCCTTTCCCTTCTTTTTCCCTCCCACTTCTACTAGTCCCCAGTGTCTGTTGTTTGTTGTTCTTACTTTTTATTTATTTATTTTTTTGAGACAGAACCTTGCTCTGTCACCCAGGCTGGAGTGCAGTGGCCAATCTCAGCTCACTGCAACCTCCACTTCTCAGGTTCAGTGGATTCTCCTGCCTCAGCCTCCCAAGTAGCTGGGATTACAGGTATGCGCCAGCATGCCCAGCTAATTTTGTATTTTTCTTAGAGATGGGGTTTTGCCATGTTGGCCAGGCTGGCCTCGAACTCCTGACCTCAGGTGATCCACCCATCTTGGCCTCTCAAAGCGCTAGGATTACAGGCATGAGCCACTGTGCCCAGCCTGCTGTTCTTATCTTGATATCCATGTGTACCCAATGCTTAGCTCCCATTTACAAGTGAGAACAATGTGTTATTTGGTTTTCTGTTCCTGCATTGATATCCATGTGTACCCAATGCTTAGCTTCCATTTATAAGTGAGATCAATGTGTTATGTGGTTTTCTGTTACTGCATTAATTCACTTAGGATAATGGCCTCCTGCTGCATCCCTGTTGCTGCAAAGGACACAAATTCATTCTTTTCTGTGGCTGCATAGTATTCCATAGTATATATGTATCACATTCTCTTTATCTAATCCACCACTGATGGGCACCTAGATTGATTCCATGCCCTTGCTATTGTGTATAGTGCTGCAATGAACATACCAGTGCATGTATCTTTTTGGTAGAATGATTTCTTTTCCTTTGGGTATATTTGCAGTAATGAGATTCCTGGGTCAAATGGTAGTTCTGTTTTACGTTATTTGAGAAATCTTCAAACTGCTTTTCACAGTGGCTAAACTGATTTTCATTCCCACGTACAGTGTATAAGTGTTTCCTTTTCTCTGCAGCCTTGCCAGCATCAGTTATATTTTGACTCTTTTGTAGTAGCCATATTGATTGATGTAAGATGGTATCTCATGGTGGGTTTGATTTTCATTTGTCTAATGATTCGTGATGTTGAGCATTTTTTCATGTTTGTTGGCTGCTGGTATATCTTCTTTTGAGAAGTGTCTGTTCATGTCTTTTACCAACTTTTTAATGGGGTTTGTTTCTTTTTGTTTGTTGAATTATTCAAATTTTGTATAGATTCTGGATATAGACCTTTGTCAGATGCATAGTTTGTGAATATTTTCCCCCATTCTGTAGGTTGTCTGTTTACTCTGTTGATAGTTTATTTTGCTGTGCAGAAGCTCTTTAGTTTAATTAGGTCCCATTTATCTATTTTTGTTTTTCTTGCAATTGCTTTTGAGGACTTAGCCGTAAATTCTTTCTCAAGGCCTGTGTTAGAATGCTGTTTCCTAGGTTTTCTTCCAGGATTTTTATAGTTTTGGGTCTTATATTTAAATCTTTTTTTTTTTTTTTTGAGATGGAGTCTCACACTGTGACCTGGGCTAGAATGCAGTGGTGTGATTTTGGCTCACTGCAACCTCCGCCTCCTAGGTTCAAGCAATTCTCCTGCCTCAACCTCCCTAGTAGCTGGGATTACAGGTGTCCGCCACCACACCCAGCTAATCTGTGGTATTTTTAGTAGAGATGGGATTTCACTATGTTGTCCAGGCTGGTCTCAAATACCTGACCTTGTGATGCACCCGCCTCGACCTCCCAAAGTGCTGGGATTACAGGTGTGAGCCACCACGCCTGGCCATATTTAAATCTTAAATCCATCTGCATATGGCTTGCCAGCTATCCCAACACCATTTATTAAATATTCCTCATTGCTTATTTTTGTCAACTTTGTCAAAGGATCAGATGACTGTAGGTGTGTGACTTTCTTTCTGGATCCTCTATTCTGTTCTATTGGTCTATGTGTCTGTTTTTGTATCAGTACCATGCTATTTTGATTACTATGGCCTAATATGGTTGAAAGTCAGGTAATGTGATGCCTATGGCTTTGTTCTTATTACTTAGAATTTTTTTTCGCTGTTCAGTCCCTTTCTTTTGGTTCCATATGAATTTTAGAACAGTTTTTTTCTAATTCTGTGGAAAATGACATTGGTAGTTTGATAGAAATCCTGTTGAATCTGCAGGTTGTTTTGGGTAGTATGGACATTTTAATAACATTGATTCTTTCAATTCATGAGTATGGAATTTTTTTCCATTTGTTTGTGTCATCTTTTATTTTAGCAGTGTTTTTAGTTCATGTTTTAAATATACCATTGCCTGAGTTCTGTCACAAAGATTTTTATTTAATTGGTCTTGGATGGGGCTTAAACAATGGTATCCTACCAAAATTCACCCCTAGTATTTTAGTATGTATACAATTAAGAGTTATTGCTCCAAACCCTCAAAATTTTGCTGAGAGTTGACGGGTATTGCTATTTGGCTGCACCCAACCACTCACCCTCCCAGCCATCCTCCCCATTCCCTAACCCACACACACATACACCTACCCTCTGGACATTGTTTTCTTTATTTTTCTTTTTGTTTCTTTTTCCTCCAGGAAGAAGAGAAAGGCTTGTTTGTTGTTACCAAAACAACACTAGAGTTCGGTAAAAACTTTCCCAAAGGAATTTGTGGCATTGAAATTGCCCCTTGGGCTTTATTTCAATTCTGACATATAAAGAACATAGAATTCATCACTGTCATTATTTCAACAAGAAATTCCTACAATAAAGAAAAGGCAATGACTTCTCTTGGACCTTTTAAAAAACTGAGGTTGCAGGATAAGGATAAGTTACTACCCTGAAATCAGGTGAGACAGGCACATCTGGAGAGATATAGCCACTGAAATCTGAAGCAGAAGAGTCTGGAGCCATAAACTGGGAGAAACATGATGCGCATGACTCAACACAGCAGGACTGTACATGCTGTCCTTAGAAGGACTTGCCAGAGGGACATGGATGAAGCTGGAAGGCCATCATTCTCCACAAACTAACACAGGAACAGAAAATCAAACACCGCATGTTCTCACTTGTAAGTGGGAGTTGAACAATGAGAACACATGGACTCAGGGAGGGAAACATCACACACCGGGGCCTGTTGAGGGGTCGGGGGCTAGGGGAGGGAGAACATTAGGACAAATACCTAATGTATGTGGGCTTAGATGACAGGTTGATAGGTGTAGCAAACCACCATGGTACATGTATACCTATGTAACAAACCTGCACGTTCTGCACATGTATCCCAGAACTTAAAGTAAAAAATAAAAATCAAAAAAAGATCTGCTGAAAGGTTGGCTCTTGGCTGGTGTTTGGAAACTTGGATTTCAGGGGAGTTACTACCATTCCCAGACCTAATAACAGGGCTCACTTTGCCTACATTGTTTGTACAAACCAGGCAGTTTATTCTGAACACTATTTTTCTTCTGGGAGTCTGGAATTTTGGTATGTGCTATGCAGAGGATGACCTCAATAAAAATTTTGGGCACTGAGTCTCTAATAAGCTTTCCTGGTAGGTAACATTTAATATGCATTGTCACAACTCATTGCTGTAGGAATTAACAGCAGGCTGTGTGCTTCCTCTGGGAAAAGACTCTGGGGAGCTTGAGTCTGTTTTCCACCAGACTTCATCCTATACATCTTTTGCCCTTGATACTTTTGTTTTGTATCATTTTACTACAGAAAATTATAACTGTATGATTAGGGCTGAGTTCTATGTGTCCTCTTAGTAAATCATTAAAACTGGGGGTGGTCTTGACTCCCCCATAGAAATACATATTACATTTGATGAATTGCAGGAGACTAAGTGTAGACAAAGTGACAGGAACTATTGAAGATCATTGTTTTTTTGGGAGTTTCCCAAATTTTCATGGGCTTTATCCCCAGAAACTCCGACCAGTTTTTATGGTGAAGATTTGATGAATATCCTTACTTTTTATTAATGGAGAAAGGGGAAGAACAATCATTGTGAAGTATACTCATAACCTTCTATATAAGCAAATCCTACTCTCCAAGGGAAAGTGTTTGCCAGAAACTTCTACCAGAAAGAAAATTTCTTCCATTCAGTATCATTCAGTCTTCCCAATTCACCTAAAGGAACAGGATATCCAATAGAAGTCAGAGTATCAAGGAAAAGGATGGAGAACATTCTAGTCAAGGAAAGAATTAGAGACTATTGAGAACAAGCTGTACCACTGGAGAAACAACTTTGGAGAACACAGCTCCAATATGCAAGCCCACTAAAAGACTGTGATTTAATAGGAAGATTATAGAACACTCCCCATCCCATACACATGACTGAAAAAAGACTACCTTATAAATATAATTGATTATGCCTGAAAGAAATACAAGACATAAACTTTAACTAGAACTACTTAGGGACACCCAAGGGAATTAAAACACGGATGCTATAGCAATTTGAAGCCTCTGATACCTATAGCTATAACAAACATCAAACAGAGGCCACATCCTAATCAGATAAACAAGTATCCTCACATTATACTTCTATTTATTTCAGTTCCTATTACCTGATACAATATGTCTAGCCTCTAATGAAATTACAAGGCATGCATAAAGGCAAGAATGAACACCATTTGAAGAAACAAAGCAATAATCAGAACCAGATTCGGATATGACAGAATGATAAAATTAGCAGCCAGGGAATTTAAAATGACTACAATTGAATTGTTAAGGGCTATACCAGACATAAAAGTAGATAATATGCAATAACAAATAGGTAATATAGAGAGATAAATGGAAAAACTAAAAAATAATAAAAAACAAATGCTAGAAACAAAAAAATGCTATAACAAATATGAACAGTGTCTTTGATGGGGTCATCCATTGACTATAAATGACTGAGGAAAGAATCAGGGCTGGAAGACTGGTGAATAAAAATTTCCTAAACTTAAATACAAAGAAAATGAGTGTATGTTGGGGGTGGGGGGAGACAGAATTTCAAGAACTCTGGACCAATTTTAAAAAATGTAACATGTATATAATTAGGATAAAAGGATAAAAAGAATAAGAGAAGAATAGGAGAAATATTTGAAATAATAATGGCTGACAACTCTCCAGAATTAATGAGATAGACTAAACAAAATCTTGGAGAATAACAAGCAGGTAAATTACCGAAACATGCACACACACACACACACACACACACACACACACACACACACAGAGAGAGAGAGAGAGAGAGAGAGAGAGAGAGACATACCATATTTAAATTTTAGGAACCAGAGACAATAGGAAAATTTTGAGAAAGAGAGAAGGGGAGAGAGAGAGTAAGAGACTTTACTTATAGAGAAATAAGAATAGAATGAGAATTATGACAGATTTCTTATCAGAAATCATGTAAGCAAGAAGAGAGTTGGTAAAATATTTGAATAGCTGAAAGAAAAAAATCAACCTAGAATTATATGCAGTGAAATTCTTAAAAGACATTTTTCAGTCAGAGAAAAAATGTTATAGGTAAAAAATTTAGATATTTGTAAAGGAAAAAAGCATAAAAAGAGGAATAAATGAAATTAAAAGAAAATTAACATTTTTTATTCTTAGTTCATCTAAATGATTACTATACAAAGTAATAATAGAATCAATATATTGGGTGAATATAGCACATGAATAAATGAGGTAAATAAAAACAATGTCACAAGGTATGGAAGGGAGAATTTGGGAAGAATATGTTCTAAGGCACTACATATGAAAGCAATATAGTATTATTTGAAGTGAAATTATATTAATTATAACTGCATACAGAAAACTCTAGGCACCCAATATTTTAAAACATAAATATAACTGATATGTTAAGAGAGGAAATATAAAATGCTCCATTAAAACCAGAAAAGCAGAAAAATGAAGAAAAATAAGAAACAAAGAAAAATTCAATGAATAAAAACCAAGAATATTAATAATATCTTTAAATGTAAATAGTATAACTTTACAAATTTAAAGACAAAGACTTATCAGAATGAATAAAATTAAAACCAAACTATGTAATCTACAGAAAACTAACATAATAATCCTATAAGTTAAAAATGAAGAAATGGAGAAAGACATACCATGCGAACACTAATTAGAAGAAAGCTGAAGGACCTTTGACAATTTCAGAGAAAGCAGACTTCAAAGCTGGGATGATTGTCAGGAATAAAGAAGAAATGCTGTATAATGATAAATGTGTCAGTTCTTTAAGAAGAATAACAATGCTGAAAGTGTATACCCCAAACAAAATACATTAAGCAAAAACTGAAAAAACTTAATAGTAGGCAAATCCACTATTGTAGTCAGAGACTTCAACACAGTTTATCAGTAACTGACATACCAACCAGGCAGAAAATCAGTAAAGATGTAGATGACCTAAACAGCACTATCAATCAACTTGGTCCAATTGACATTTAAATAATTCACTCCATCTAACAACACCAGAATACACGTTTTTCACAAGCTCATATGAAACACTTACCAAAATAGACCACATTCTTGGCCATAAGATACAACTAACATATAAAATAATTGAAATCATGCAAAATATGTTCTCAGACCGTAATAGAATAAAAGTAAAAATTAATAACAAAAAGAAAGCTGAAAAATTACCAAATATTCAAGAATGAAACAATATGCTTCCTAACACACACAGATCAAAAAATATATTTCTCAAGAAAAATTAAAATGTATTTTGAACAGAATGAAAATAAAAATTCAGAAGGGGTTTCAAGATGGCTGACTAGGGACATTTGACACTTGCACCCTCCATGAAGAAGAATCAAAACAGTGAGTAGATAATCACACTTTGAATGAATGATTTAAGAGAGAATACTGAAATTCAACAGAAAAGTGACAGGAAACACCTAAGGCAAGGAAGGAGAGGGAAGCTAGGCAGTCTGCTCAGCCAAGATCAGCTGGGAGCCTGGAAAGGCTCCTCAATGTGGGGAAAGTGAAGTGAGAGACTCCCATTAGTCTAAATTCCCACCATGGACTCCTGCAATTCTAGCCACAGGAGAGCCCCTTGACCCTTGCAGGCCCTGAGACTAACACAGGCAGTTGCCTGGAAACATTGCTTCAGAGAGGAAGCTCATCTTGAGTCTTAAACACCTGGTGAGACCTAAGCAGCCACATTGCAGGGCCATTTTGAGAGCCCAGCCCACAACAGACTATATCCTGCCCTGGGCCCATCAGCCCCTGCATCTTTACATTCCTGAAGCCCAACTGACATCCTTTGCCTGCAGCCACCACTGCTGCTGGATGCTGCTGCTATAGATAAAGTGCAAGCTACTGGCAGTGACACCAGCCCTGGTGACACTGCTGCCACTGACAGCAACCTTACCTTCCAGAGTAGCAGGTGCACAGTGCACTTGCATGTGCCCTGAGGAGAGGCTTCCCCATCTACCACCACCACTGCTGCCTCCATCCAAGGGGGAACCTAAAGATCACCTCATTCCTGCCCACCACAACCAATACCCATACATATCACTGGGGTTGCTGGGCTGGCCACAGATACTATACTAACCCACTCAGCCTGTTGAAACCATCACCAACACCAGTGCAGACAGCTTGGGAGCCAAATGGTTGCCCTACCATTGCTGCTGCCATCAACCACACCAAGCCTATTTCCCAGGGATCTGAGAAACTGTCCACCAATATGACCTACTGATGTCACAGCTGACACTCAAGCAAGGTACCTGGAGGTCCAAGAACTGGCCAACCTACAACCACTAACACTGATACCAGCATATGCCACCCTCAGACCAAAAGACAAGCATGCTTAGCCTGCCACTGCCACCACTGGGGCCTGAGCACTGGCTTACCTAGCTTCCCCATCCTCAGCAAAACTTCACCACAATCTCCACTGATAACTGCACCCTAAGCTACCGGGGAAATCACATATATCATTGACACTGTTTATAGCTGAAGAAAATATATGAAGACAATGTTACTGCTTGCACCCAGAACCAAAGCCAAAGTGCCCTAATCAACCAACACCATAGATATATCTTCAGGAAAATGTTTTCCCCTATGAAAGTAGATCCAAAAACGTAGACATGACTGTTACATTAAATGCACAGGTGTCAATGAAAGGATACAGGGAACATGAAAAGGCCAGGAAATATGACACCTGCAAGAAAATGCAATACTTCTGCAGCAACAGATTCTAATGAAAAAGCAGTTTATAAAATGCCACAAAAATTCAAAATAATGATATTTTAAAAGCTCATTTAGATAAAAACATAGATATACAATAAAAAGAAATCAGAAAAGTAATTCACAATATAAATGAGAAACTTACCAAAGAGATAGGATACCATAAAGAAGAACCAAACAGAAATCCTGGAATTAAAGAATTCAATGAATGAAATAAAATATACATTCAAGAGCTTTGACAATAAACTCGATCAATTAGAAGAAAAAAATTTCAGAACTTTAAGATAAGTCTTTTGAAATAACAGTCAGACAAAAATAAAGAAAAATAATAAAAAAAAAGAATGAACAAAACCAACATGACATATGGGACACCACAAAGTGCCCAAATATTTGAATTCTTAGTGTTCTAGAAAGTGCAGAAAAGACCAAAGGGGTAGAAAATCAATTTAAGAAAATAATAGCTGAAAATTTCCCAAGCATATCAAGAGATTTAGGCATACAGATACAGGGAGCTCAGAAATCCTCAAAATGATACAACCTGGAAAGGTCTTCCTCACTACACGGAGTAGTCAAACAGTCAAAAATCAAAGACAAAGACAAAATTCTAAAACAGCAAGAAAAAAAGTATCTAGTCACTTATAAGATAAATCCCAACTGACAAACAACAAATTTCTCAACAGAAACCTCACAGGCCAGGAAAGAATGGGTTGATACATTCAAAATGCTGAAACAAACAAAACAATGCCAACCAAAAATACTATACCCAGCAAGGTTAACCTTTATAAATGAAGGGAAAATAAAGTATTTCTCAGATAAGCAATAGCTGAGGAAATCCATTACCACTATACCAGACCTACAAAAAATGCTTAAGAGGGTCCTATACCACAAAGAAAAAAAGCAGTATCTATCATGCATTGTATCATGAAAACACACACAAGCATAAAACCCACTGGTCAAGCAACCACACAAATAAAAAAGAGAAAGGATTCAACTATTGCCACTACAGAAAGCCACCAAACCACAATGACAATAAGATAGAAAAGAGGAACAAAGGATATACCAAATAATAATAAAACAATTAATGAAATGACAGGAATAAGCCTTAACATATCAATAATAATCTTGAATATGAATGGATTAAACTTCCACTTAAAAGATATAGAATGGCTGAATGAATATAAAAAGTGTGACCCAACTATATGCTGTTCACAAGAAACTGACCTCACTAATAAAGACTGAAGCTAAAAAGGACTGAGAAAGATATTCCATGCAAATGGAACCCACAAGTGACCAAAAGTCACTGTACGTATAATAGATAAAACATATTTAAAATCAAAAACAGTGAAAAGAAACAAAGAATGTCATTATATAATGATAAAGGGACCAATTCAGCCAGAAAGTATAACAATTCTCATATATGCATCTAGTACAGGAGCACCTAGATATATAAAGCAAAAATTACTATTTCTAAAGGGAGAGATAGACTCCAATGCAATACAATTGGAGTCTTTAGCACTCCACTCTCAGCATTAGACAGAACATTTTGAAAGAAAATTAACAAAGAATCATTGGATGTAAACTGCACTTCAGATCAAATGGATTTAACAGACATTTAAAGAATATTTTATTAAACAGCTACAGAATACACATTCTTCTCATCAGCACATAGAAAATTATCTACAATAGACTATATGTTAGATTATAAAATAGGTCTCAACAATTTTTTTAAAAAATCAAAATTATATCAAGTATCTTCTCAGACTACAATGGAATAAAAATAGAAATAAATAACAGTAAGACCATAGAAAACTGTACAAATTCATGGAAAGTAAACAACATGCTACAAAGTGACCAGCGGGTCAATGAAGCAAATCAAAAAAATTTTTGAAACAAAAATTAAAACACAACATTCCAAAATCTATGGGATACAGCAAAAACATTAAGAGGGAAGTTTATAGCAATAAATGCCTACAACAAAAAGTGGAAAGATTTCAAGTAAACAATCTCATGATCTACCTCAAAAAATAAGAAAAGCAATAATACACCAAATTCAAAATTAGTAGAAGAAAAGAAATAATAAAGATCAGAGAAGACCTAAACATAATAGAGACTAAAAATACAAAGGATTAGTGAAATGAGAAGTTGGAATAAAGTGATAAACTGCTAGCTAGACTAACTGAGGAAAAAGGAGAAGAAAACCAAAAAAATCAGAAATAAAAAAGGAGACATTTCAACTGATACCATAGAAATACAAAAGATCGGAGACTATTAGCAACAGCTATATGCTAACTAACTGGAAAACCTAGAGGAACTAAACATATTCCTGGACACATTCAACCTACAAAGATTGAATCAGGAGGCAACAGAAAATCCAAAGAGACAAGAAACAAGTAATGATACTGAATCACTAATAAAAAATAAATCCCAACAAAGAAAAGCTCATGACTGGATGGCTTCATTGCTAAATTCTACTACATTTACAGAAAAGAACTAATATCAATTCTTTTCAAACTATTCCCCCACCAAAAAAAAAAAAAAAAAAAAAAAAAAAAGGAATTCTCCTTAACTAAATCTGAGATGAGGTCATCATCATTCTGATACCAAAAGCAGACAAGAATGCAACAAATAAAGAAAAATATAGGCCAATATAAATGCAAATGAGCTTAACAAAACACTAGCAAACAGAACTCAACAGTTCATCCAAAAGATTATACACCATAATCCAGTGGGTTTTATACATGGGATGGAAGGATGGTCTCATGTACACAAATCAATAAATGTGATACATTACCTCAACAGAACAAAGAACAAAAAATGTAATCATCTCAAAAGATCCAGAAAAAGCATTTGATAAAATTTAGAATTCTTTCATGATAAAAACTCTTAACAAACTAGGCATGGAAGAAACATACCTCAACATAATATAGGCCATATATGACAAACCCACAACTAACATCATACTGAATGGGAAAAAGCTGAAAGTCTTAAAGAACTGGAAGAAGACAAGGATACTAACTTTCACCACTTCTACTCAAAATAGCAGTAGAAGTCCTAGTTAGAGAAATAAGGCAAGATAAAGAAATAAGAGGCATTTAAATTGGAAAAAAGGAAGTCAAATTGTCCCTCTTTACAGATAACATGATCTTGTATCTAGAAAAAGCTCCACCAGAAAAATAAAACATAGAGCTTATAGATTCAGTAAAGTTGCAAAATATAAAACCATATGAAAAAATTTATTAACAGAAATTTTTATTTTTCATACAGTTTTATATTTTGCAACTTTACTGAATTTATTTTTCATTTCTACACACCAATAATAAACTAGCAGAGAATAACAAATCAAGAAAACAATACCATTTAAAATAGCTACAAATATAAAATACCTTAAAATACATTTAACCAAGGAGGTGAAAGATTTCCACAAACAAAAATGCAAAACACTGATGAAAGAAATTGAAGAGGACACAAACAAAAAGACATCCCATGCTCATGGATTGGAAGAACTAATATTGCTAAAATAACCATAGTACCCAAAACAATCTAGAGTTTCAATGCAATCTCATCAAAATACCAATGTCATTTTTCCCAGAAATACAAAAAAAAAAAATTCTGAAATATGTATGGAATAAAAAAAAGAGCCCAAAGAACCAAAGCAATTGTAAGTAAAAAGAGCAAAGCTGGAGTCATCACAGTATCTCACTTCAAAATATATTACAAGGGTTTGGTGTGGCGGCTCATGCCTATAATCCCAGCACTTTGAGAGGCCAGTGTGGGGGGTTGCTTGAGCCCAGGAGTTCAAGACCAGCCTGAGTAACATAGTGAGACTCTGTTTCTACCAAAAGTAAATATATTTGGTCATGGTGGCACATGCCTGTAGTCCCAGCTACTCAGGGGGCTGAGGCTGAAGGATTGCTTGAGTTCAGGAATTTGACACTGCAGTGAGCTATGTATGACTGCACCAATGCACTCTTGCCAGAGTGATAGAGCAAGACCTCACACCCTTCTTAATATATATTACAAGGCTATAGTAACCAAAAAATGCTTGGTATTAGTATAAAAACAGTCACATAAAACATTGGAACTAAATAGAAAACCCAAAAATAAATTCACATATTTATAGCCAAGTGATTTTCAACAAAAGCCCCAGGAACATACATTGGAGAAAGGACAGCTTCTTTAATAAATGGTGCTTGGAACACCACACAGCAAAGGAAACAATCAATAGAGTGAAGAGACAAAGAGACAACATTTTGAATGACAGAAAATATTTGTAAGTTATTCATCTGGCAAGAGAATAATATTCACAGTATACAAGGAACTGAAACAACCTAACAGTAAAAAACAAAACAAAGCAAACAAACAAAAACCAATCTCATTAAAAGGTGGGCAACAGGCATGAAGAGATAATGTCAGAAAATAAGAAATACAAATGGCCAACAAGTATATAAAAAATGCTCAACATATCTAATTATTAGGAAAATTCAAATCAAAACCATGATAAGATACAATCTTACCTCAGTTAGAATTGCTATTGCTAAAATGACAAAAAATAACAGATGCTGGAGAGGATGTAGAGAAAATGCAACTCTTGTATACTTTTGGTGGGAATGTAAATTAGTACAGCCACTATAGAAAAAAGCTTGAAGATTTCTCAAAAAAGTAAAAATAGAACTAACATGTAATCCAGCAATCCCACTACTGGGTATTTATTCAAAGAAAAGGAAATCAGTATATCAAAGTGACATCTCCACCGCCATGTTTATTGCAGCACTATTCTCAATAGCAAAGATATAAAATCAGTCTAAGTGTTCATCAATGGACGAATGGACAAAGAAAACATGGCATATATACACAATGGAATACTATTTGGTCATAGTAAAGAATGAAATTATGTCATTTGCAGCAACATGGACAAAACTGGAGGCATTATGTTAAGTGAAATAAAGCAGACACTGAAAGACAAATACTGCATGTTCTTATTCATCTGTGGGAGCTAAAATATTTGATCTCATAAAGGTAGAAAGGAGAATGATAGGTATCAGAGGCTGGTGGGATATGTGGATTGGTGTGGTTATAAAGAGAAGTTTGTTAATGGGTACAAATATACAGTTAGATAGAAGAAATGAGTTCTAATGTTTGATGGCAGAGCATTGTGACTATAATTAACAATGTATTATATATTTCAGAATACCTAGAAGAGAGGACTTGAGATATTGCCAACACAGAAATGGTAAATACTTGAAGTGATGGACAACCTAAATATCCTGACATGATTATTACCCATTCTATGCATGTAACAAGATATCACATGTATGCTATAAATAACTGCAAATATTATGTATCAATCAAAAAATTAAAATTGGAATTATCAAAGATTATGTGATCCAGGAAAAATATTGCTAACAAGGACGTTTACAGCATTAAATGCCTGTATTAGAACATATGGGAGCTCTAAAATCAATACCTCCAAGCTGCCACTTAGAGAAGAAAATTTAAGCATAAAGCAAGCAGAGAAAACAAATAGAACAGTAACCAATTAAATTGAAAACAGTAAAAGAATTGTGAAAATTTAAAAAGCCTAACAGCTAATTTTTGAGAAGATAAATAAAATTGGTAAACATCAGGCTGGGCTAACCAATGAAGAAAGAGAAGACACAAATTATTAATATTAAAAATTAAAGAGAGGTTATACAAACTGAGCTCACTGACACTGAAAGGATACTATAGAAATACCATAAATAAATCTATTAGCAAAAATGTTGATAACGCGGATGAAATAAACCAATTCCTTGAACAATGCGATTCATAAAAACTTGCACAAAAATGAAAGCGCTACATCCATCTTGTTTCACTGGGAAGTTTGTATCAACATATGGGAAAAATAATTCTAATTCTCCGCAATCCTTTGCAGAAAATAAAAGCAGAGAAAAATTTTTCTAACCCATTCTTGAGGCTAGCATCACCCTTAAACTGAAACCAGAAGGAGGAGGAGGAGGAAGAGAAGCTACAGTATCTATCATAAACATAAACAGAAAAACCTTTTAAAAAATTAGCAAATCAAATTCAATAATGACTGAAAAGAGTTATGCACCATGGTGAGATGAAAGTTTTTCCAGATATGTAAGACTGATTCAACATTAGAAAATACCGGGATGTAATCTACCATATCAACAGGCTAAGGAAGAAATGTCATAGGATTCTATCAGTTGACATTGAAAAAGCATTTTAGAAAATTCAATACTCATTCATGATAAAAATTCTCAGCAAACTAGAAATAAAGGGAAACTACTTTAACTTGATGGACAAGTCAAAAACCAATTGCTAACCTCATACTTAGTAAGACACTAAGAGTTTATGCCCTAAAATTGAGAACAAAGCAAAGAGGTCATCTCTTACCAATATTGTTCAAAATATTTGTGGAAATTCTAGTTAGTGCAATGATAGGAATAATAATTATAAAACGTACACCAATTGAAAAGGAAGGAATAAAAATGCCTTATTTACCAATGGCAATACTGTCACTCTAGAAAATCTCAAAGAATCTACATTAATACTTTTGAAACCAATAAGTGGGAATAACAAGACTGCAGGCCTCGAGGTTAACATAAAATGTTAATTTTTTTCATAAGTACCATTTACAATAAACTCCTCCTCCCAAAATAAACATTTACATATAAATCTAATACATGTACAGAATCTATATGCAGAAAAATGATAAAATACAGATGAAAACAATCAGAGTATCTAAATAGAGAGTCCATATGCATGGATTGAAAGACCCAATATTAAAACATATAGTCCGTATTTTTTATTGATATCTTCAATGCAACCCTAGTCAAAATCTCAGCAAGTTATTTTGTAAGTATCAACAACCTGGTTCTAAAGTTTATATGGAGAAACAAAGGACATAGAATAACCAAATACTGAAGAAGAAAGGTGTAAAACTTTTATGAACCAGTTTTTCAAGACTTACTATAAAACTACAGTAATTAAGATAGTGTACTATTGGGAAAAAAAATTGCCAGATAGTTTGGTTGAACAGAACAGAGAGGCCCAAAATAGATCTGTGTGAATATAGTAAACTGATCTTTGATGATGTAACAAAGTAAATTCAATGAAGAAAGTATAATATTTACAACAAAGGATGGTAGGACAATTGGATATCCCCATGCAAAAAGAAAGAAAAAAAAAAAAAGACAGAAAAAAGCAAATGAAAAAAGAAAGAACCTTACACCTTACAAAAAAGTGAATTCCAAAGGGATGATAGACCTAAATGTGAGATACAAAATTGTAAAATTTATTTAAGGAAACATAAGAGAAAACCTAAATTATGTTGGGTTTGGTGACAAGTGTTCAAATACAATGCAAATAGTATGATTCATGAAAAAATTGGTAAGTTGTACTTTAGTAAAATTGAAAACTTTTGCTCTAGGAAAGACACTGTTGAAAAAGTAAAAAGACAAGGTATAGACTAGGAGAAATATTTACATAACACACATCTGATAAATGACTTGTATCCAAAATATACAAAGACATAAAAAATATCAAAACTTAATAATAAGAAAAATAATTCTTATTTTAGGAAATAGGCTAAAGATCTGAATTAATACCTCACCACAGAAAATACACATATGGCAAATAAACACATGAAAAGCTGCTCAACATAATTTGTCCTTTGGGAAACACAGATTAAAAGAACAATAAGATACCATTGCATACCTAGCAGAATGGCTTAAAAAAAAATTCAGTACCAAATACTAGAGAGGATGCAGAGCAGCAGGGACCATTGTTGATCCAAATGCAAAATGGTACTGCTACTTTGGAAGACAGTTTAGCAGTTTCTTTCAAAGTTAAACATAGCCTTACCATATTATCCAGCAATTGTACACCTAGATATTTACCTAGTTTCTATAAATATAAGAAAACATATATTTATACAATACCTGCACATAAATGGGTATAAAAGCTGTACTCATAATGACAAAAAAAACTGAAAAAAGACATTCTTCAATAGGTGAATGGATAACTAAATAGTGGTACATTTATAGACTGGAATACTAGTCAATAATATAGTGACGTGAGCTATCAAAACCTCAAAGGACTGAACTTCAAATGCACGTTGCTAAGTGAAAAAAGCCAGTCTGAACTACATATGATATAATTTCAATTAGATGACATGCAAAAGGCAAATCAATAAAGATGGTAATTGATCAATAGTTGCAAGAGACATAGCAATGACTGATTCTTAAAGTATGCAAAGTAAATTATATATATATTTGTGTCTATATATATAAAGACATTTAGGCATGTATACAAAGTCATTTAGGATGTTGGAGGATTCTAGAATGTAAGGCAGACTCTGGTAAAATAATCGAATTGTATTACAGATATGTGAACAACCTCACCAAATGAGGTTCAGGAAAAGGTGTTAATCTAAGTAAATTTGGAAATGTGCATAGTCTGTAAAACTAAGGCAAAATAACTTTTATACAGCAATGTAATCTAATTAGTAAAGCTGTTTCTCATGGAAATATGGGTTAATAATTCTGAAACCACTATACAAAATACTGGCATTGAACAATCACATAAATGGATGGCAGATGATGTAAGGCAGGGTTCTCACTATCAGAATGGCAGTTACAGACAAACAAGGGGATAAGACTAGAATGACCCAGATGGTAATATATTTGAGTTGGACACCTCAGTATGAGTTCATAATTAGCTTAGCATAATAGAGATGGTAATGCATTGAAAAATTTATAGATATTTATATATATACACAGGTTAGCATACACATTTATGTTTCCTTGTTTTGCCTACTGAGAGGGCCTCACTCAGTGGCAACAAGGATACTTACAATCCACAGATCTTGGTTTCTATGCCGTTCTCCAATCAAAGGAATGGGAGCCACTTGGAGAAATTGGCTAGTTCTGATACAGAAGGGCTGGGCTCCCAGCTAAACCCCACCCTTAAGCCTGGAACCGTGGCCCTAAGTGAAAACAGCTGACCTCGTTTTTCTGCCCAAATGTTGCCTTTTTGGCTCGCCCCTATCCTGTTCCCATAAAAGACTTCAGGTGGCGGAGCAACACAAGCAGCTGAACATCACGGCTACAAGTGGCTGAGTAGTGAGCAGAGAAGCATCGGAGATTACGGATAGACACTGCTAACTTCAGATGGTGCAGCTTCTAGGAGGGGCCCAGCCGGAGACCGCCAGGCTTCAGGGAATGATCAGCTTCCCATCCCCTTTCCAGCCTCCCTTTTTGCTGAGAGCCACCCACTGCTCAATAAAATCTTCCAAATTCATTACCTTTCAAATGGTTCGTGTGACTTGATTCTTCCTGGACGCTAGACAAGAACCTGGGCGCCGAGAGGGCAGGGGCTGCCACTCTGACCCTCCACTGAGCAGGTTGGCACTTGGCTGTCCCCGGATGGCAGAGGTGAAAGAGCATTGGTTGTAACACATTTGGATGCTGCTCAGAAGCTTCTCTGCTCACCACTGAGCCACTTGTAGCCTTGATGCTCAGCTGCTCGTGTTGCTCCACCACCTGAAGTCTTTTATGGGCACAGGATAGGGGCAAGCCAAAAAGGCAACATTTGGACAGAAAAACGGGGTCAACTGTTTTCACTTAGGGCCACGGTTGCAGGCTTAAAGGGTGGGGTTTAGCTGGGAGCCCAGCCCTTCTGTATCAGAATTAGCCAATTTCTCCAAGGAGCTCCCTTTCCTTTGATTGGAGAATGGCATAGAAACCAAGATCTCTGGATGGTAAGTATCCTTGTTGCCACTGAGTGATGCTGCTTTGGGGCCCACACAAAGCCTGCTGTTGCCAGATGAGCAACAAGTCAGTCCCAGCGTTGGTTCATTCTGGTTCCCATATTAGCTCGCTCACACAGTCCCTCCTATGAGAAGTGGCCAGTCATGGGCGGAATGAAATGAGCCACTCCAGTTCCCACCCGCGAATGGGGTCAAGGGAACAATCCCATCTCAGTTCTAGGGCCACGACTGGAAATATACAAAATGAACCTGGACCATTTTGTAGTACCAGAAAGTAAGAAACTGCTAAAAAAGTAATTAAATATGCATATGCAATGGAGGGAGATATCAAAGGTATGTAGAGAAGAATGGAAAGAGCTCCCAATGCCCAAAGCTGGAACAATTTGAGTAAGAAAATAAAGTAGTATTGGATAACTGAAAGTATAAAGTAATTATACATGAGTTAATACTGATATAAATAAATGATTGAACAAATACATAAATGATTAGATAAATAGTGGAGAACAGACGAATCTCTCCTGTGGAAGAATTCCAAATAATTTATGTAGATACTCCACCTTCAAGGAGGTGAATCATAACTCCTCACACTTTACATAGTAATTTTCTTCCAAAGAGTACTGTGTGGAAAGTGATACAACACAGTAACTTCACAGTGGAGAAACCTGGCAAACACTGTCCCAGCCAGGTGATTATGGTTAGCATCAACAATGTTAAGCCATGCAGATAGTATATACCCTTGGTGTAATGGGAGGAAAATGGTACTTTGCCTCTGTGGGTCTTCTTTGCCAAACACATAACCTCAGCCTACAAAACATTAGACAAATCTCAAATGAGGGACACTTTACCAAATACCTGACCATTAATTCTCAAAACTGTCAAGGTCATCAAAAACATCTGAGAAACCGTCACAGCCAAGAGAGGACTATGAAGACATGATGAAGTGTATTGTGGTGTCCTGGGTGGATAGAAATAGGGCATTAGGTCAAAGCTAATTTGAATAAATATATGAACTTTAATTTTTAAAAATTGCTTTCAATCAACAGTCACTCATCACATCTGTTTATTTTTATTTAGTTGCATCATCAGCTGTGAATTAACCTCAGCCCACACCTCTTCTGCTGCCTTTGAATACTGGGAAAGAGATTGTCTGTACTTTGTTTTCAGTGCCTTTAACTAACACTAGTTACCTCACAGGAAAACCAGCCCTTTTAACCTGCCAGTTGAATTCTACACATCGAATTAGATCTACAAGCCCTTTTAACCTGCCAGTTGAATTCTACACATGAAATTCAATTTGATGCCTCTTGGAAACTAGTCCTCAATCCAACCTAGGAAAGGAGGCCAGAACTGCCTTCTGCAGTTGTCATGGTGAAACTATATTGTTCCTGATAGATATCTGTGATACAGGGCTTGAACCTAGCTGTAATCTGGTATATCTCTTCCAAGAAGCAACATTTGTTATTCAGAATGTTGAATTTATGAGCTTGTGCTAGTTTTCTTTCCTGCATCTGGAATCTCACCTATCAGCTATGCAAGTTAATTTAACCAGAGCAATTAATCTCTTTTCCAGGAAGCATTTAAAAGCAAACAATTTATTCTGTAGTTGATAGCATGTTGCTTAGAATATTAATAAACATCATAGAAGTTTATGTTATGTCATCTTTACAAAATTAAAATCCACTAATTCACTTAACAAATATTTATTAAGCATCTACTATATTCAAAACACTTCAATAGCCTAGGCAATACATCTCTACAAAAAATAAAAGTATAAAAATAAAAAATAAAATTTAGCCAGGTGTGGCGGTGAGCGCCTGTAGCCCTAGCTACTCGGGAGGTTGAGGCTGGAGAACTGCTTGAGCCCAGAAGTTCCAGGTTTCAGTGATCTGTGATAGTGCCATTTCATTTCAGCCTGGGCCACGGAATGAGACCCTGACTCTAAATAAAATAATAAAACAAAAGAACAAAGAAACACATACACTCCACTAAGCACTGGGACATTTCAAAATGAAAGATCTCTGCCTTCCTAGAGTTCTCAATATACCTGGGGAGATCAAAGAACTGACCAAATGTTTCTAACTCAAGGCATTATACGGTGGTCATTCCTATAGCACTGAAAACTTTCTGAGAAGATCAAGGCATTGCAGGAGGGGAAGATCAGAAAAGACTTCTTTGAAGTGGTCTTTGGAGGCCTCTAGGATGGTAATAAGTAAAATCAGTATTAGAGGGTCCTCTGGGAGGAATAAATGGAAAAGGCAGGTGGTAAAGTAGGGCAAGCACTTTGGAGGATAGAATTTGGAGAAAGCTGTGTTGAGTAGAGTGACGAAGATAAGAACGCATTACTGAGATGGTGAAAGCAAAGCAAAAGAGTTAAACTTTTATTTGATAGGCAATGAAAAGCCACTGAAGGAAGCCATTTGTGATCATAAAAGTGCCATGATCAGATTGGAATCATTCTGGCATCAATGTAAAGGACACATGGAAAGAGGTACATGTGCAGATTTTTTTCAGGCTCGATATTTGCAATCAGTGCTCATGATCAACTGCAGCATACTTCACTAAATATTCCATTGTCACCAAAGGAATTTATTCCTCTGAGCACAGTAGCCAGCACTGGTTCCACAAACCATGAGTTTGTTGGATGTCCAAGAGATATTCCTCTGATTCCACTTGGGATTTTATCTGTCCATGACAAAATTCCAATTCTGAATGAACGCCATTCCTTGAAGACCAGAAGCATCACATGACTTTTGTACTGCAGATACTTAAAGGGAAAGCAATGAGATGAAGTGAGAAGTTATTTGCTTTTCTAAGCCTGATAGACCAGCCAGTGCTTTTATAGAAGGCTGCTCCTCCTCTATCTGTCTGCGACAATTTCCCAGGTGGAATAATGACAGAAGAGACTGAAAAAATATTCCCAGGGATCTGGAGGTGTAAAGAGGCCTACTAAAAGCCTTGATATTTCTTTAAAGTTTTATGTTTGATTTCCAGAATTATTGTGAATTTTGGTCTTCTTTTTAATACATGTGTTCACTGCAGATCACTGTGCATTCCTGGAGTGCTCACACCCCTGTGGAAGCATGGGTAGTATAATTTTTTTTTTGTTTTTCAGAAGCAGGCAGTGTGAAAGACAGCAGATCTCACATCTACCATGCTCACTCTAAGGACAAGTGAGAATTAAAAGACCAGCTGGACCTGTACATGCTGAACCTCTAAACGGAACTGAGATACACAGACCCTTCAATATGGTCAGCTTTTCCCCATGTTCTGGCGGAGAGAAATACCAAGGCCTTTGGAGATTGAATGGTCAATCTTGAACTAATCAAAGCCTAGCTGTTTAAAACAAGGGATCTAAACTTTCCCTAACTTGATTAACATTTCTCTCTATCCAAATATGAAAAATGGGCCCATTTATTATTTATGGTCTTCCCATCTGATATTTCACCTGCTGCCAACACAGCTAAGCCCAGCCAAGTTTCGTCCATGGCTGGCCTGCAGGCAGATGATCCCAGCAAAGCAGAATTACACCCAGGGAAGCAGATGGGTGACCTTTCTCTCGCCTGCTCTCCAGACTAGAGAACAGATAGCCAAACTCTTTGGGTGGCCCAGGCCCTTTGCTTCTATAAATTAAAATACATATTTTCTGACTGATGGTCTGTTTCTCAGAAACATCGATCACACATTCATCAAATACCATCTTTCATGCATTATGGCAGAGCAGCCAGTTTTTCTATCTGAAATCCCTAACGTGATACCCGTTCCCTCCTAGCCGACCTTCCCTAAAAATAACTTAGTGTGAACTTTTTTCATTGCTTCTTTTTCCTCCTTCTTTGCAGCCATGTGTTTGAAATGTGTTTAAGATATTGTCACATTTCACATTTTAAATATCATGAGGACAGGCCAATTCTATGATATTTTAAGTGCCCTCATTATGAAACATATGGCCAGAGGGGTGGAGACGGGGAGGTGGGGAAAGAAATATGGCAAATGTAATATTTTCCCAAGGGGGGGTGGGGAACATGACCTGCAAGATGCAAGAATCTATGTGTGCCACTACTGAAATACCATCTGTTTCCATTCAAATTATCATCTTGAAATTATGACTTTTTTGCATATGCCATAATGTATAGGATTCAAGGGCCAAAACACATCATAGTGTTTGCAGTCAACTGATCCAGTTGCTGTTAAAGCTGTGGCAATTCAAAAAAATTTAAAAACCAAGAAAAACAAAAAATGTTATACATGTTGTGTTCTCATTTATATTTTTTTAAAAAAATATAGATATTGTTATTATAGAAACAATGAAAGAGATAGTCATTGATGACATCATTGATTTATTTGTCAGTTAATTCATTTATTCTTTTGTTCATTCAGCACTACTTAAGGCATCATATGAATTACACATACAGTGTATGGATATGGGGTGCAGAGATGAGAAGACAATGGTCAAACTGTTAAAATATAAACAATAAGGCCGATTGTAGAAGTTAACACAGATGTCACAGAAATACCCAAATTTTTGAGGGGAAGGGGACTATGACATTGCTCAGTGATGGAAAAATCTTTTTAAAGCAGGCCACTTTTAAGCTGATTTAAAAATTAAGCAGGATTTAGCTATACAAAGTAGATGCTGATGTTCCCAGGCTTTGGAACAAGAACATGCAATAATGTGGAAGTGCCAGTGAGCACCGGCTGCAAATAATTCATTATGACTGGAACATAAAGGGACAGAAACACAAGAGATGGAGGTAGAGGGGGTGGTTGGAGCCACTCCCAGAGAGCCTACCTCTATGGAAATCCGACAAGTACTTTGATAGATAACACCTGATTTCCTACGAGGATGAGACAATGGCCTTGATTGAAACAATATCTTGATGAACACTTGGTATAGAAACAGATTGCAAAAGCCTCTATGTAGGATGTGGCAAGAGTCACAGAGAAGCAGGCAAGCTACTTTAAGTAAGATGCAGAAAGTAAGTTCGTTTGTTACCCTGGAAGGGTGTAGAAGAGTAGAGGATAGAGAGGAAGAAGAGTAAGCAATCAGTCGGTGGTAGGATAGTGGACCTTGAGGGCAAAGAGCTAAGAGAGGAACTCCAAATGACAGAGAAAACAAAAAGGACTTTTGGAGAAAAAGACTCTAAAATTCTACTGTTTTGATTGCTTTGCCTGGGCAAATATTTCTCCCCATGCCCCCTACTCCTCTCTAAACTCTCTTTTCAGCTCCTTCAAAAAGTCTTCTGCAGTCTTGTGTATTTATATGGGAGGGTAGATCTTCTTTTGGGAAAATTAGTAAAGATATGGGTTTCTTGTTTGAAACAATATGGCTTACTGAAGGGATCACAAGCAAGCAAACAAGCAGTATTTAATTTAAGCTTTCCAGGAATTAAAATAGTAAAATAATGAGATGGATGGGCTTTGAACCTCAAAAGGATGTGTAAATGGGGTTTCAAGCCAATCTCACTAAACTTTTAGGCATAAGGAGGCATCCTAGTTGACATTTAGTTTCTGTCAGTAAAGATTTAACTGTGATAAACAAGATCAGTAATAAACACATGAAGATCTGGTGCTTTTACTAAAGGTTTTATGGTGGACTTGGGAAGAAGTTCATACATGTAAAAGAGTAGTGAGGAAACTGAATAGTCAGCACATTCATCCTTAGGAGGGCCATCTGACCATTTCCTCTCTGACACCCTGAGAACCATTTGGAAAACACAAGAAAGCACTGACCCTTAGACTTTGGGCAATGATCTCTGCCAGCTAAAAATAACCATTAGCAGATGAGGACTTTCCATCATTCTGGACTAGGTTTAGACAATCCCCTTTCTACCCATACATTTTTTTTCTATCTCACACTATACTCCAAGACATCAGAGACTCCTGAGAATATGTGTCCCTTTGGATCCTCAATGCTCTGCCCTGTGTCCTCATGAGTTAGTCAAAATATCAGTTATCTTGTATTTGTATAATGTTTAAAAATACTTATTGAATTAATAAATGTATGAATGAATTTATATGGATTAATGAATAGATTTTCCAAAGAAACGTCCAAGCTACATTTATCAAGGGTACATATGTTTTTAGAAGATTCAGAATTCTGAGTAAATTATATACTTCTGTTCTGCATGGATAGACTAGTAATATTTAGAACAAATTGAAGGTTATATGATGAAATAATATCATCAATAAAACTGACATCTAACAAACTCATCAAAATTTTTATTTACCCAGTGCTTGTTCTTAGCTATTTCACAATTCATTATTTCATCTGTACTACATCACTCAGAAATGGATAATATTCCCCTTTGCGATGAGGACATTGAAGACAACTGATGATAATCTCTGGGATTTAAGCTCAGACCCTTTGATTTTTTTCCCAGGACTGACTCCCTTTCCTTGGGTTGACAGTGAGGGTGTGAGAGTTCTGTAACCACTCGTCATTTATTTACTCTATGATGTAATCTTAGGCAAGTCATCCTTGAATGATACAGTCTCTGCCCTCTTTCCCATCTCTGCATCTCTCCTCTTAAAGATCTGGTAATACTTGACTTGCATTTCAGACTCAGCCTGGTTATGGGGACCAATATTTCCTGCATGCAGAAAAAGATGTTTGTTGTTGTTGTTGTTGTTGTTGTTTAACCCACTGAATTTAATACTTGAGAACTTCATTTGTTTATTCAACCATTTGTATACTCAGACACATTTTTAGAAGCCTGTTATTTGCCAAGAACTATTCTAGATTTAGGAGATAGAACAGTAGCCCAGACTAGAGTCCTGTGCTTACGACCTATTCTGGTGCCTGGTAACATGAGCATCTAAGCTCCCCAGGCTAGAGATAGTGAGATATAATGGGGACAACATGAACTTCAGATGTGACTCCTAGGTTCAAATCCTGTTTCTACTCCCTATTATTAGATGGGATGAAAAACAAGTCACTTTATTTCTTTGAGTTCCCATCTATAAAATGGGGGTCCCAACCTCACAGAGCCTAGTAGGCAACAAGTAAAGTAGCATTGTTAGAGTGCACAGCCAATGGCCAATGTGAAATAGGCATGTACAGTAGCTGCTTAGTCCTAGCACCTCTAGGCTGTGGAGACATCTCCTTTGTAATCCACCTGTTTTGTTTCGAGCGCCAGACTTTATATACCTTTTGCCTGGCTCAATAGCCAGTCCCACTCCCCCATTTTCTACACACTCTCTCTTGTCCCTATTTGATGTATTATCCATTCAGCATTTAGAGGTATATGTTGAAAACATGAGCCTGATCACGCCACCTTTTTGATTAGGACCCTTCAATAGTTTCCCATTTTCTTGGAATAAAATGTAAGCAAGTCCACATGGCCTGTGATTTGCCCTCCTGCCTGCTCCTATTGCCTTGCCTCGGTCCTCCACACCTTTTGCTCAGCCCTTCTTGTCTTGTTGCTGTCCCTCAGAATGCCAAGTTCATTTCCACCTTAGGGTCTTTCCATGGCTTTGCCTTCTGCCAGGAATACCACTTCCCCCAGTGTTGGTGTTTAGCTTCATTCTTCAGCTATTTCATATTTATCAACTGACTCTTGGCAAAAACACCACCTACTCACAGAGTTGTTTACTTACCACACAATAGAAAATACCCACACCCCTTAATCACTCACATTGTTTTTTACTATCTAAAATATTTATTCACTTATTTATTTTCCACATTCATACAAGAATGTAAATGACCCAGGAGTATCTGCTTGCTTGACTGCTGTGTCCCAGCATCTAGGACAGTGCCCAGGGCATAAGAGGTCTTCAGCAAATATTTTTGAATGACCTTGTGAAGGAAGTTTCTCATTTTGAATAACTTGCCCTGGCTGGTGGACAAGACTACGCAGGCTTTCTTGAATTTAACACACACTTATCTTTAACTCTCTTGAAAGAGACACCATTAAGTTAGTTAAAAGCAATAGGCAGCTATAACTGTCCCCAAAAACACCCATAAGAAGCAAGTGCACTCTCCTTATTAAAAGGGGCCCCTTTGGGCCTTGCTTGGGTAACTGTTTCATAAGGATGAGTGGGCGGATGGCCTGATTATAGAGGCCATTCTCTGTAAGCAAGTTTCCAAAAAAAAACACAAGATGTTCAGGCACAATTGCAGATTTGCTAATTACCGTCCACCTTCCTCCCTCTCCTCCTCCCCTCTCTCCTAGTCACCTACACCGAGGTGGTTGGGGGCTGTCATCCCATCGCCAAAAAATTGCTTCCTTTGCCTCCCCCTCGTTGCTCTTCATCTTTTCCCAACATAATTACCATCTTGCTAATAAGTCAAATGAGTGGGTACAGCAAAGTGGGCAGCTCCACTTGGCTGCCTCACTGAGCCGCTGGCTTGGAGTGAATGGGAAATACCGTAATAGAGCTGCAGCTGCCCCAGCACGCCAAGGGAGTCCTGCTAACAGGATTTCTCTTCCTTGGTTGTTGCTTGCAGGGATGCACAGAAAACCATCTGGAGGAAGGAGGAGTTATGGCCCCATCTCGGTTCCCAAGCTGTGCTCCTTTTGCCAAAGCTGTACCTTCCCGAACACCACAGAAAAGTCACAGCCTAATCCTTCTAGTCCGAAAAAGGACTCGGCTTACCCGGTGCTGACTCCCGCCCACCCCACCCAAGCCTATTCCTTTCTGACATATTTTCGTGTGAGTGTGGTCTTTCCCATAGGTCTATGCTGCCCTGCAATCCAGACTCTCAGTTGCGTTTATCAGCCGGTAACTCCTGCCCTGCCAATCACATTCTAGGCTGGAAGAAGGATTCTGGGTCAGGAAGGCAGTAGCGTATTTAGACTCGCCAGAGTGGAGAGCCAAGCAGCAAGGCGACTCTGGAGGACTACACGACTTTGAGCAACCTGTAAGTCGTCACTAATTTATGTGCTTTTGTAACACATTACCATGGGCATCTCAGGAACAGTATAAGGAGTGCCAAGTGCTTAAAATGCAACAGTGGGGCTATGTTGCAGAGATTCGTAATTTCATTTTAAACTCAATGGAGCCCGGACGATGGGAAAGAATAGGGTGGAGCCAGAGTGGAGAGGGCGTGGCCTTGCGCCCGCCTGACATAGCAAGACTGCAGAGGAAATCGCCGTGGCAGGAAAGCGCCTCGCCTGGACACCAGCTCCGCATTAATCACCAAAGCACACTTTCTATCCTTCTGTCTGCTTTTTCTTCTCCCGCACAGTTGAGCTCTGCACAGCTCTTCGAAAGGGGTAGGAACAAGGCAAACCTCGTCTCATCCCACGAATGACTCCCTGGTGCACTTTTAATTATTAATCTGAGCCAGGTTATTCATCATTAGGAAGGCAGCAAGCGGTACGGCCCTCACAGGCGCCATCTTTTATCACACAAATCCCAGAATACTAAAAGAGCCGATGAAGAATTATTGGAGACCCCGAAGATGCCTTTCCCTTGCCGGCTTTCTGCCCTGGGACCAGCGGGGGCTGTGCTCACGCTCTCCCTAGCTCTAGCATGCGACAGAAAAAGAGGACGTGGGATGCTTTGAACACAGTGAAGCCCCACTGATTTGAAATGAAGGGGTGAAGGTCAGTGAAGATGTGTGGAAAGCTCAAATTCAGAATATTCTTAAAGAAATCTACGCTTATCTCTTTCAAGTATATAGAATAACATATAATTATAGTTAATTAAGTGTTACCAAAAAGGAACCCTAAGGGGCAATTGGATTGAACATCGTTTTTTAGAAGCTTCTTGTTACATCAATGGCTGGTAAAAATTTGGCTTCAGGAGGGCTTTTGAAAACAATTCTCTTACATAATTTTTAATTCATTCTTTTAGTCATTCAGGCTTGAAATCATAGCGATCTTTGATTTTCCCATTTTCATGATTCCCCCCCCCAATTTTTCTTTTGTAAGAGCTATCATTAGTTGAGTTACCATGATGTGCCAGCTGACTATTATTTGTAGTTTTGATCTTTACTAAACACTGCAAAGTAGATCATTTTAGGTCCCCTTGGCAGATAAGAAAACTAAAGTTCATAGAAATTCAATGGCTTATTTTGGGTCACAAAGTTCATTGAAAAAAAATAAATAAAGTAAAACTAATATTATGCCACCTTCTTCCACCCCTCCTTAATAAAATTGCTAAGTTTGTAGATCAGAGCTATGATAAGTAAGTTATATATATATATATATATATATATATATAGGTTTATATATTATATATAAACATGTAAATATACATTTATAGGTTTATATATTATATATAAACATGTAAATATACATTTATAGGTTTATATATTATATATAAACATATAAATATACATTTATATGTTTATATATATAGGTTTCACTAGGTTCCTTATAATTTTTTTATATTAAAATATATAGAAAATGTGGGATTATATGTTAATTAAGTGTAGAGTATTTGTTTCTGATTGAGCTGTCCTTTTGGTGGCTGCCCCAGCTGTTCACATCTGTATCTAATGGATCCCAGCTATAGGTCCAACTGCAACTTTATCCCTAGGGACAAGAGATATATTCAGCCACATCATCTGGTGGTAATTGACACTGTACTGCCTTCTGGATTCAGGAGCCACAGTGCCAAAGATTAATCCTGAGTATTATATAGACTCTTCAGGATTGCCAATATGGGCTTTATCTATCCCTCTTTCTTTATAATTTCTATATCTATTTTAACCAATCTCCATCAATAACTGTAGTTCCTCTCCCACTCTAATTTGCTACACTGAATCCTTATTCTCGCCAGTTACCATTCCTCAAAAAGCTGAAGCCTGACCTATATTACGAATTATCATTAGAGGGCCCTCTCTTAAACAAACAAACAACAACAATATATCTTAAACGCATGACATAGATTTGCTTTGTTTCATGTTATCAATGGTTCCAAGGAAATTCTCATTTAGGATCACTGCCATCCAATCTCAGGATGCCTCACGTTCAAATCCACTTTTACTGACAAGACCCAAAGACGTATAACTAATGAATAGGTTCTACCTTAAACGAATTTCACTCTTGAATCTTGGCTTTGGCCTAAGGTTAATCAACATTTTTGTTCTTAACTTGGATGTTGCATATGGCCAAATCAACCTGTGCGTGACACAGAGCTGGGAAAAAGAGCTAAAAATGAGTCCAAAAAAATGTTCCAAAAGCTGCAACAATGGGCTCAATACAACATGATGAAATTTAACAGGCACAAATGTAGATTTAAAAATGAAAACCACTAACAATTGCAGACATGAATAATTGGGGGGGGGGATTTATCAATAACACATGTGAAAAAGATACAGGGGTTTTAATTGACTTTAAGCTCAGTATGAGTCAACTATGTGATATAGATGCCAAAATATTAATGCAATATTAGGCAAAAAGAATAGAAATAGCATAGACTTTTCAGAACAAGAGACCGTCATCCCGCTCATTCTGAGCCAGTGAAATCACACCTGGGTTGGGGTGTGTTGGGTTGGGGTCTGGAGAGCACTCAGGTAGTGGGGGGTCCTGGATCCATGTTATGTGAGAAGTGATTGAAGGAACTCAGTGTCTGGTAGAAGAAAGCCACAATGAGTATCTTAAAATATCCAACAATTTTGGAATATAAGGAGAATCAGAGTTCTCCTATCCTCAAGCCTATCATCTCAGCACTTTGGGAAGCTGAGGTGGGTAGGTGGCTTGAGCCCAGGAGTTCGAGACCAGCTTGGACAATGTGGGGAAACCCTGTCTCATCAAAAAATAGAAAAATTAGCTGGGTGTTGTGGTGCACACCTGTATTCCCAGCCACTTGGGAGGCTGAGGTGGGAAAATCACCTGAGTCCTGAGAAGTCAAGGCTGAAGTGAGCTGTGATTATGCCGCTGCACCCTAGCCTGGGAGACAAAGACACTGTCTCAAAAAAAAAAAAAAAAAAAGAAAGAAAGAAAATGGAAAGGAATCTACAGTAAATATAAATGGGACATTTTTATCATTTAGAATGTTCTTTTTAACTTTCTATAATTGACAGAAAAACTTGTATACATTTATCATGTACAATTTGATGTTTTGAATTATGCACACTTTGTGGAATGATTGGAATGTTCTTAAATGGAATGAACTTCACTGGGAAAAGGAGTTGGCAGTCAACAAATTTAACAGATATTGGATGAGTACCTCTAGAGCTTTATAGAAGAGATTAATGCCTTCAAAAAATCTGGGCTGGACAAGAGAAACTGTAGCATAGATATGAATGCTATACAGTCTACATACTGCTGGATAATCCTGAATCATTATATTTTTCTGTGATTTCCTCATCTTCCCAATTAAAGTGAAAGTTCTCTGAAGCCAGAGACCATGTCCTTATCCTGGGCTTCTCCTAACTTCCTTCTCTTCCTTCTAGTGTGGCTCAGAGAAAAACCCTTAATAACTATGATGACTGATAGCTGGAATTGTTAACTTACGTAGCTAATATTTTACCCCATTGGCTAAAGTATGGGCCAGCCTAACTTATGTCATAATTGTCACATTTCTGACCTGTGGAATTAGCAATAATATTCTGCATTTCTTGCATCGCTGTTTGCTCATCTCATTTGAAAGTACCAAGGTTCTTTCCCCCGAAGATATCCAGTTCTGAGTAACACGGACATGCTGGGAAATCTCTCTATGCCTTAGTGTTCCTTTTGTGAAAGGGAGGGATGAGATTTCCAAGGTCTCTTTCAATTTTGTCATTCTATGACTCTAGTCCTGTGGACTGCCTTAGGAGTTTTGATTATTTTGTCTTTTTCATATATTTCCTTCATCTCTCTCCTATGTTCCTTCAATGACTTTGATAGTATCACTGAGCTGGGTATGTTAGCATCAGATTCTGAACATAGCATCTCAAGAACTCTTAAAGATTAAATATGTAGAGAATTATAAATATTTGAAATACCCGGGGGCTGGTGTATGTACTGTCTTTAAAAAGATCTTTTTGATCTAGTATCTTTTATTTGCTTGCTTGCAAGCTGGCTTTTTTACCCTCTGCTAGAGCATCAAACTGGTTGGCAGGCTTTCAGGATGGTGAAGGGCCCTGCAGACAGTCGCAGCACCCTCACTCCCTGCTCTCCATACTTATTCCATACTCAAGATTGAGGGAAAGGATGGGACATTCACAAGCTCTGATACCGCAGCAGAGTACAATACTAAGAATTCCTTTTGCTGAGCCTGAAAAGTCTTAACTAACTATTGAAAGGTCTAAGCTCTGAAGCTTTGCTATTCACTCACTTAGGAAAGATGCATAGCCTTGCTGAAAATCCATTTTCCATGATAATGACCCTTACATTCCGCAAATAATGTCTTTCTTGAATATCTATTTCCTAATTCTTGATCGATTATAATCAAAATATTTTTATTACAGCTCTGCCACATATATGACTTTAGTAGACACAGTTTCTACATGATACTTACCTTGAAGGGTTTATTAGTTTATTATTTATTTGTTGGCTTTTGTCTGTTTATTAACATATTCCGTGCTTTTCTTTCTTGTCTTGCTTCATTCCTTCCGTATTTCTGCCCTCTCTTTCTTTCTTCTTTCTTCACAATATTTCTTCTGAAAATGCTTTCAGGTGCTTTACATAAAGGCACAGAAAAAAAGTGTAATTTAAATAAAGAGGTTATGGCAAAAGGAAAAGTGGGATGATCCTAGGATAAATATACAATGGAGTCTATGCCTAGACGATATGAGGAATATGAGGATATAGGATATATAAAGTGATAGAGTACATTCATAAAGGATATGAGGAATAGAGGACGGAGGTAAATAAACAAAATGCTTAGCAAATGCCTAACACTCTTTCTAGAATGTTGCAGTGTGTTTCATAATAGCAAGAAAAAGAGGAAAAATAAGGAATTATATGCCTCAGCATTTCTACAAGCTAAAAAGAAACCTGCTGATCAGGAGAAGCATGACTGCTACTGGTCCTGGGGCTGGAGAGAAATAAAGAGAACATCATGGATTGTTGTAGACATGGTTTTCAACAAACTTTTGCAAAAAACACAACTTTTATAAGAATGCTTCTTTTAATATTCCTCCACATGAGCATTTGCCATAATGCCAAATAGTGCTTCATTTAAAGGCATTTTGGCCAGGCACAGTGCCTCACACCTGTAATCTCAAGGCTTTAGGAGTCCAAGGCAGGAGGATCGCTTAAAGCCGGGAGTTCGAGACAAGCTGGGCAAGACAGGGAGATCCTGTCTCAAAAAAAAAAAAAAAAAAAAGGAGAAAAATTAGCCAGGCATGGTTGTGCATGCCTGTAGTCCTAATTACTCTCTTTGGGAGGCTTAGGAGGGAGGGTCACTTGAGCTCAGGAGTTCAAGGTGGTAGTAGGCTATGATAACGCCACTGCACTCCAGCCTGGGCAACAGAATAAGACTAAGCTGGCTCATAAAAAGAAAAATAAAAGCATTCTATGTGGTAAAGACAGATGGTGGGGAATCAAAAGGGTGAGGGAGAGGAAGAGACAAAATGCTTCTCTGTTGTCCAGCTTAACAAAAGGATGAATTTTCAAAAACTAGATGCATAAACTGCATATCTTTCAGATAACTTTCCATAAAATAAGAGACCTAAACTCTCTCATAAGTCCAACAAAAGTTTTGATAATTGTTGATGGTTCACAGGTTTGAGATTATAATACCCCATGACTACCAGAATATCACTATTTCCTATTTCCAGCAAAATCCAGTCCAAAGCACAAAACATTCAGGTTCGCATTAAAAGTCCTTTGATAAAAATAATTATGATTAAGTACTCTGTCTGTTGGGTATGTTGCATACAGCATTTTTATTATTTATAACAACCCCTCAAAGTAAGTATGATGTAGAAACTGAGGCATAAATGCATTTAAGTAACTTTTCCAAAGTCACAAAGTGTCTAAGAGGGTCAGATTTCAAACTCATGTTTCTCTGACTGTGTTAAGTCAATAAGATGTACGCTGGTTGCTCAGTGGGCCATGCTGAGGATCCACCTTGGCTCACTTCCTGACAAGTGCTTATTATACCTCTGGATTTTTAAAAAACTAGTATTGTTTGTTAAAATATTTGAACAGTCTTCCAAGAACCCCTATGACTCATGTTGGTCTTAAAGTGGAGCAACAATTACAAAAGGAGATTCTCTCTTTCTTAGTCTCTCTCTCCCTCCCTCCCTCCATCTCCCTTTCCTCTAGTTTTACAAAGTCTATCCAAGACCCCAGAAAAACATAACACATAATCCTGATTTTTTAAATCCAGTTTCAGAGGAGAGGAGGTTTCACATTTGATAGGGTCATGGTTTATTGGATCATAGGGCTAAGAGAAGCAAATGCAGAGTTTGGCCCAAAGCAGAAAAGAACCAAGTGGTAGTCTCCAGCTTTCTTTTTACTTGACATGTTTTCAATGGCCAGTCATTTTTACATGCTCAGGATGGCCCTAGAGAAGGTTTCCTGGTGGCATTATCAAAATGTGTGCTGGATGGAGATCAGAACAACAACCACACTCCTGACACAGCATTTGCACTTGCCCAGCCTGCCATGAGATCCCACCATCCTTCTTACCCGAATGTGAATAAGTCAGAAGGACTTTCTGTCACCATTCTTTCCAGATCTAACGTGTGTGTCACTGATCTCTTAAAACATTGTTTTACATTTTACAGTTTCAATGTTAATGCTTAGAACAGCTAAAGCAGTACCATATGTAACGTACAAAATATAGAAAACAAAAATGTGAAGAAGAGAAATATCCACTATGATTTCACCTCCAAGACATTTCTATTTATATACTTGTGAATATATGTCTAGGCTTTTTATCTGTGTGTATAAATGCACAAACACATATAAAAACATACATATTTGTTTGATTTTAAGAAAATTAAGGTTTCATAGAAAACATAATTATGTATTATTATTTTTCCTTCTTACTTTATAAGCATATTTTGTGTTAAGTGAAGTAAGCCAGACACAGAAAGAAAAATATTGCATAATGATCTCACTTATATTTGGAATCTTCAAAAATGGTCAAATATATGCAGAGAGAGAATAAAAATGGGTAGTAGGGTCAGGGGCTGGGGCAGGGTGGGATGTAGGTCAGAGAATACTAAGAGGCAGGTATATAGGATAAAGTCTAGAGATCTAATGTGCAAGATGATTACTACAGTTAATAAAATTACATTGTATTATGGATTTTTGTTAAGTAAGCAGATTTTAAATGCTCTTGTCCCTAGAAAAGTAAATATGTAAGATGGTAGATATGTTAATTTGCTTCATCGTAGTAACCATTTTACTGTCTATATGTATCCCATGACATCATGATGTAAATCTCAAACATACACAATAAAATTTATTTAGAAAAACAAGTTTATTGAAATGTTAAAAGCATGTTTAAAGTGATGCATGATACTCCAACATAGGTTATACTATAACTTCTTTAATTATTCCAATATGAGTACATATTTATGTTTTCCATTTTTTACTATGTAATATAGTGCTGTAATGATCATCATTGTTCATAATATACATAACATTATGATGTATATTAAATCACTTTTCATCTACAAGAAGCGAGGAAGTAAGTAAGGTCTTCAGTTAGCTAAAACAAGAGAACATAGAAAAAGTTTAAACATAAAAAGGAATAGCATGTACAAAGGTCCTGTGGCTGAAAAGAGCACAACAACAGGAAAAAGAAACCCGAACAATCAAACAATGAAACAAAACGTAATGTAAAGAGTACAAGGGATGGGGGGAGGGCAAATAATAAAGCGAAACTGGAGACAGAGGCAGGGAGTAGAATATGCTTTGGTCTTTATTTTAAAGGCAAAAAAAAAAATTTTTAAGGAGGGTTTGGAGTTTCTGAAGTTTTACTTTTAAAGTAGAGTTGAGAGATGAGACATAAAGCAATTTGTGCCTAAAAATTTGTGTTTAAGAGGATCCCTTTGGCCTACCAAAGAGACACCTGCATTTGCATGTTTATTGCAGCACTATTTATAATAGCAAAAACATGGAATCAACCCAAGTGCCCATCAACAGTGGACTGGATAAAGAAAATGTGGTACATACACACCATGGAGTACTACACGGCCATAAAAAACCCTGAAGTGATGTCCTTTGCAGCAACATGGATGCAGCTGGAGGCCATTATCCTAAGTGAAAACCAACAGAAAACCAAATACTGCATGCTCTCACTTGTAAGTGGGAACTAAACATTGGGTACACATGGACATAAAGATAGGAACAATAGAACACCAGGGGCCCCAAAAGAGGGGAGAGAAGAAAGTGCACAAAGGTCAAAAAGCTACCTATTGGGTACTATGTTCACTATTTGGGTGACACATTCACACGATATATCCCTCTGACAAACCTGCATATGTAACCCATGAATCTAATTTTTTAAAAAAGATCCCTTTTACTATAGCACAGAGGATACACTGAAAGGGAGAGTAGAATGGCCATGGATGGAGGAGTTAGGAGCTTATTGCCATAGTCTAGGTGGGAGACAATCACAGCTTTGTGTAGGATGCTAAGAAAGAGATGGTGACAAACGGATGGGTTCAAGAAGCATTTAGATGGCAAAACTGACAGGACTTCCTTGTAGATGGGATATGGGTGGGGAGGTAGGGAAAATACATTTACAAGGATGAGTCCTTGATATCTGACTTACAAAACTGTTGTTGTCATTTACCAAGATAAGGAATCCTGGAGGAGGATCATGGTTGCCGGGTAGATATTTTGTGTTCAGTACTGGAACTCTTGTGGCGTTTAGATACATGTACTTGTAGGCCAGGAACTTTTAGAAACAGTCCAAGCTTTGGAGGGTACCTCTGACTGTCACTGGCACATAACTGGCCATAAAAGAATGATGTGGATAAAATTTCAAAAGAACTGGTGTGGAATGAGAAAGGTAGAGAGCCTGGAACAAGAATTAAAGTGTAAAAGAAGCAAAGTTGAAGGGAAACTAGCATGATCACTAAAACGTTTTGGAACGGGAGGAGGATTAATTGATGAATGGAATACTTGGTTCTATCCTACTCTTACATATGGGGTTTTTTGACTTGAATGCTTGAATTCCAAGTCAGCTACACAGCACGTTAAACTGACTTGATAACATAGGGAAACTCAGGCACCAGCTTTTAGGCAGGTTATCTTAAAATAGTTTTATTGTTAATTCTAACTTGTCAGAGGGATTCTTAACATCGCACAAAACATTCACTTCTGAAGACGTGGGAAGTTGGGTGGTGAGTCAGGAGATGGGGGTCATTCAGCCTGGAGGTCTCCACAAGTGTAAAATACAAGTCAGGCCAGGTAAGTGAATGACAGCGCTCACCTGCTGCTTCATTCTAATTGTACTTTGGGGACTATGCTAGAAAGAGGACACCTGATAAAAAGAGTTATACGATATAAGCTTGACTCCAAGCTGTAGAGGACAGTGCAGGGTCTCAAGGAGAAGGGAGGTTTGGCAAAAGCCACCTGAGATACAAGGATGATTGGAAGCCACTGGAATATCGAGATCCCATCTGAGAAAGGGAGTCAAAGACTGCTGAGAAGATGAACACCATTTCCCTCTACATGTGTTTGTTCCTATGTTCCTCTGTTCCTCTGATTCCCATGCTGATTAACAAATGACTCCCCACAGCCAAAGGCTTTTCTGTGGGTGTTCTTGAATGTAGCTGAAGAAGGTGGTTGCTGAGGAGGGGAAAGCTGTCCCTCAAAATGCTTTGAAAGGATATAGCAAGGTGGCCCTTATAAAACAGAAAGTCAACCAGACTCAGGAAATGAGCCCATAGACTTACACCAGAATGATCAGCTCCTAGGAAGAAAATGGAGATGGAGGTGAATATTCACTCATAGAATGCTTATGAAGATGCTAATGTGGGCCAAGTCTATGAGTTACTCAGCAAGATGTTAGCCTAAGGATCAGCCTCTTATAAAAAACTATAGTTCTATTTTCTGGCATATTTTAAATTAATTAATGTCTTCATTCTTTTGACCCAGTTGTCCTGAATATCTGTTTTGTGTTAGGCATTGAGAATATAACCATGAACAAAAGCAGACATGGTCCTTAACTTTATGACTTAGCTTGGTGACATTTTACTATTCTTTTTATTTCTTTTCTTTCTTTCTTTTTTTCTTTTTCTTTTGAGAGAGAGTCTCACTCTGTCACCCATGCTGGAGTGCAGTGGCACCATCTTGGCTCACTGCAAACTCTGTCTCCTGGGTTCAAGTGATTCTCCTGCCTCAACCTCCCAAGTAGCTGGGATTACAGGCATGTGCCACCACACCCAGCTAATTTTTTTGTATTTTTAGTAGAGATGGGGTTTCGCCCTTTTGACCAGGCTGGTCTCAAACTTCTGACCTTAGGGAATCCGCATGCCTCAGCCTCCCAAAATGCTAGCATTACAGGCATGAGCCACCACGCCTGGCCCACTCTTTTGATTTCTTAAGAGGTTATTTTTTTCCATGGGGTCTGTGGATCTATTTCAATGTTGCTGCTTAAGACACTTTTCAGTGTAGTCTTACGCCAGTAACTCTCCTGAATAGTATCTATAAAATATCTCTGAAATAGGTCACATTTCCTGAATATACCCCCAGGACATGGGTCTGAGAAAAATCCGTCTGCATGGTCTTCATTCCCTAGTCTCTCTCCTGCCCTCCAAACCTGCTCTTCCCCAAAGACTCATGTTCTTCACATTCGTTCCATCAGCCTGAAGTCTTCAGGGCACCTGGGGGACAAAGTACTCATTTCCGCAGTTCCTGCTTCAATTATCTTCTTGTTGAATAAATTAACATAAAAATATAGGATATCTAAAATCCAATTATATTTTAGTTACTCTGGATAGAGACAAACAATTATTTTGTATACACACATTAATTGGAAACAGAAGATGCATTTTGTTTATTATTTTGCGAGTGGTTGTTTTAAACTGTCTCTCAGCTTAACTTTCTTTGACCTCATTTTCCCAAGAAGTATGGTTTCTCTTCACAGATCCATACTTTTACCTCCAGTTAAACTAGCTATCTGATTTTATTGCTTCTCCATGTGCAAACCTTCCATTTCAAGCCAATATCTTTCCACACCCTACTACCTTAATTAACCCATACATTTTGAGATACAACTTATCTTTTATTTAATGTTTTCTTATTTCCACATATGAACCTTTAAAATATACAATGGTGCATTTGAAATATGCAAAATGATTTATGGTCTGGTTTCAAAGGATGACCTAAAGAATAAATAATGCCCAAGGGTAAGTGAGGTCATTCATTATAGTAATTTTTAGTGTGCTTGCCAAATGCCAAGGGAAATCATATGGTGCAGTAATCTCACTTCTAGGAATCTATTTCAAACATACTGATAGATAACAATATTAAATAACATAAGATAGGACTATTCATTGAAACACTGTGATATATCAAATGATTGAATTGAAAACTACCCAGATTTTGATTATGGAAACTGGTGAAGTAAACTATGATATCTTCCCCAAATGGAATTGTAAGCAACTAAACAACAACAAAAAGAATATGCATATATATGTATGCATCTCTCTCTCTCTCTCTCTCTCTCTCTCTCTCTCTCTCTATATATATATATATATATATATATATATAAATATACACATACAGAGAGAGAAAGAGATTTAAAACAATTGCAATTGGATCATGTGATTGTGGGGTCTGGCAAGTTTGAAGTCTGCAGGGCAGGCTGGCAGGCTGGAGACCCAGGCAAAAGTATGTGTTATAGTCTTGAGTTGAAGGCAACCTGGTGGCAGAATTCCTTCCTCTTTGTAGGGTGGATATGTGGAGCTCAGTCTTTTCTCTGAAGCCACTGAACTGATTGGATGATAACAACCAGCATTATGGTGGGTAATGAGCTTTACTCAAAGTCTACTTGTTTAAAGGTTAATCACATCTTTAAAAAAAATACCTTCACAGCAACATCTAAACTGGTGTTTGAACAGACAGCTGGGTACCATAGCGTAGGCATTTGAAATATAAAATTAACCATCACAAATATAAAGTACTAAGGTAAGAAACTCAGCTTAATATATGTAGAGATATATTTGCTACAACAAAACAAAAATAAAAATTTGTGCCTTACTGTGCAGAAAAGAATTAATGTAGCAAACCTGAGAATGCAATCTTTAGAAATGCCGCCATCCAAGTTTTGCCCTTGGCTGGTGTCTGAGAACCTGGCTGGTAAATAGTTCTCTATACTGAAATGAAATTTTCCCTAACTGATAAAAGTGGTTCACTGTTTATAGACTGTGCAGACAATATGGTTTATGATGAATACTTGCTTTCCTTATGGGTGTCTGAAATGTTGGTACATGCTAGGCAGAGGGTAACTGCATAAGCAATCCCCAGAAAACACCTTGAGCACTGAGTAAGCTACTCCGGACACAACCATAACACACATGTTGATGCACTTTTGTGCAGCAACACAAAAGAAAGCTCTGTGGGACAAAAGAAAGCTTTATGTGGAAGCGAGAAAGCACGAGGAAATCTGCCCCTGGACTCCTCCAGACTGCACTTGTGTCTTTTTCCTTCATGATCCAGGTATATTATTACTTTATCACTGCAATAAATCTTAGCTGTGAGTACAATTATATGTTGAGTATACTTTGTTCTACAGGATCTCCGAACATGGAGGTTGTCTTGAGGGCCTCCAACAGACCTATCCTACAGATAGAGAATATATATATATATACACACACACATACACACACTCACATACCCATAATAATTATTTGCTAAAATATAATTTTAATTTTAGCATAATTTTAGATTTATAGAAAAGATTCAAATATAGTGCAGGGAGATCTCATAGACACTTCACCCACTTTCCCATATTGATAATATCTTACCTTATCATGGTACATTAGTCACAACTAATGAACAAACTTTGATACATTGCTCAACTAAAACTTCACACTTTATTTGGATTTACAGTAATTAGTTTTCCCACAATGCTCTTTTTCTGTTTCAGGATTCTATCCAGGATATATTGAGTTTAATCGTCTCATCTCCTTAGTCCCCTCTGCTCTGTAAACATTTCCAGACCTTTCCTTGTTTTCCAGGAAGTATTGTTTTTCTGTTGCTTTGTTTTAGTTTTTTTGTAAACAATTTTGGGTTTCTTAATTATCTCTATGGTTTCTCTGTGTTTTACTTTGCAAATGCCTGGTTTTTAACTTTACTATAGCTTTCCTTTTATAATTTTCTTTGTGTTTACTCTGGTTTTATTTTCTAGCTTCCCCAATAGAAGTTTTAGCTCACTATTTCTCATTTTTTCTTGCTTTCTAAAATAAAAATTTAAGGATATAAATGCTCTTTTTTTATATCTACCATCCATATGGTATGTTTGGATAACTTCCTCGTATTTCTTTTCTAATTCAGTAATATTTTCTTCAACTGCTTGTAGTGTATGAGATATAGATACGGATGAAGATAATTTAATAAGAATTATTATATATGGGAGAAGGGATGGAAAAGAGTAAAGAGGATGGAATAAAAGCTGGAGTTATCTCACTCTACCTTGTGTGACAGGTTTTTCTTTGGAAATACGTAAATGATTCCAAAATTATAAAATAAACTTAAATCAAAATAAAATAAAAGTGATGCCTAAAATTCAAAAACAAAATAAAGCAAATGATTCTAACTTTATATAAATTTGCTGGCCTAAAAATATTATTTGATTATCCAAGCTTTATGAGTAACAAGTATTTAGTAATATTAAATACTAATTATAGAACTCTAGTATTTTTTGTAACAATGTTATTGTTTCTATAGCTAGATACATATAGATACATAATTTTAAGATAAAGGAACTGTGTAATTACTTAAAAATATTTCAACTTAAGATTTCTAGTGCAAAGAAAGAGGAGAAACTATAAAATCAAATAAGTTAATACTATCTTAAATTCAAATAGGAAATTTTCTTATGAACATATAATGTATTTTGGCTTTACAAAAATAAATTACTTTTTACTACCTTTGTCCGGTGAAATGGTCTACAATGATAACAATATCCAATAGCAATAATAATAAGATTTCAAAATTGAAAATTAATTTCAGAATACTATTTTTCACTAAAAGGAACCAATAATTTTTGGTGAAATGATTTATTCCAGATCTGGGACAGGAAATGAGCTTTACTTGATTTGTAAATCAATGTCTACATGATGTCCACATAATGGACATCTTTACAAAAAGAATCATAAAAGATCATATTTACCAGAAAATAAGAAAGTTTTAATGTATATTGGGGTTATGCTGTAAAAGGACATAGGCATCATTCTGAAAGACCTCCACTGGAAAAGAATAAACAATTTGAGCATCAAAAAGAAGTTTGGTTATAAAAGATTCAAGATCATCATTTCTGAATTCATAGTGACACAAAAATACATCTCACTGATCACTTGAGGAAATTTTTAAGGCACAAATTCAGTATTTAAAAAACTGGTAGCAAAAAAATGGGGGCAGGGGAACACATGCATTTATCCTGCCTTTCCCATGCCAATTAGGTTTCAGAGTAATTTAATAGTAGAGAAATACAAGCTTTTCTTTATAGAAAAATTCCACAGCTGACAAGAGCAGAAATAATGGAAGGATATCATCATTTTGCCATCCGTTAATATAATTATAAATCTAGACAATAATCCTTGGTGGCTACTAAAACTACTAGATGAAACACTAATGGAGAATTTAAAAATGGACGAATTGAATTGACAACTCCTGAACCTATTGATAAATATTAACATCATAAAAGAGAGGCAACAAGATAATACGTGACTATTAAAGCAATGAAGTGTAGGCAAGTATTTTTGAGAAAAAAAATCAAACATGAATCTCATTAAGTCTCTATCAAGGCCCAGTGTTTACAAAGGATAGAACGTGCTATATGACACCATATGGACAAATTCAGAAGGTGAGAAACGTGACAGGAAAAAGGACTTGGTTTTTTCAACAAATAAATGTTCGAGGATAGTGGGGAAAGGAGTGAGAGAGAGAAAAAAAAAGAATAAAAGAGAGAGACAGAGACTGAGAGGGGGAATTTTATAGGTTAAAATACACTCAAGAGACTTAGCAGTCAAATGTAGTATGTGGACATGATGTAGATATTGATTTACAAACCAAATGAAGTAATTGATGGCACAATTGATATAATTTTACACTATATATTTTCAGTGTTGACATAAATGATTTATTTTTAAGTTGAATACAGGTGTTATGATTAATTTTTAAAAGTTTCTTCATGTCTGTCACTTGAATGTGAAATGGCTTTTAAAAATGCAGCCTTAGAATTATTAAGTTTGTGAAATTCTTTCACATACTCCTTGGATCCCCAAAACTAATGGGTTATGCAGGGAAGGTATTATTAGCCTTTATTTTTCTTTTTTTTCCTCCTTTTCCTTTCCTTTCCTTTCTTCCTTTCTTTTCTTTTCTTTCCTTCCTTTCTTTCATTTTCTTTTTTCTCTTCCTTCCTTCCTTCCTTCCTTTCTTTTCTTTTCTTTCTTTCTTTTTTTTTTTTTTTTGACTGAGTCTCGCTCTGTCACCCAGGCTGGAGTGTAGTGGTGCAATCTCAGCTCACTGTAACCTCCACCTCCTGAGGTCAAGCGATTCTCCTACTTCAGCCTCCCGGGTAGCTGGGACTACAGGCACACACCACCACGCCCAGCTAATTTTTTGTATTTTTAGTAGAGACGGGGTTTCACCATGTTGGTCAGGCTGGTCTCAAACTCCTGACCTCAGGTGATCCATCTGCCTCCGCCTCCCAAAGCGCTGGAATTACAACCATGAGCCACTGCACCCGGCCTAGCCTTTATTTTTCTAAAGACAAAAGGAAACTTAAAAAATATTAAATATCATACCGCAACACCTTCTAGAAAGTGGAAGAGCCAAGTCCTCTAGTGCTAGGTATCATGCCCCAGCAGTTTACTATTTCAGGCTGCCCATGCTTACACATTAGCAAAAAGCAGAAGAAAATAGTCACAGCTTAGGATTCTCCAAGCTCTTTTTTTAATCAAATGTGCACAATTTCATTTAACACAATCAGATAAAACACAGACACACACACCACACCAGATACACACACACACACACACACACACATATACTGGGAGATGACATAAATTCCATGTCCTCTTACTACTTAATCTATGCCCAATATCAAAAATTTTCCCTTGCACATTTTTTGGACACAATTTAGGAAACAGCGCAAACACCAAATAACTCGATTGCTTAGCTACCTTGATTTTAACATTAACAAAGAAGCATTCAGTAATTCAAGCAAATAATAAGGTGTTTAACATTAAGGTACTTGATGTTTTCTATTACATAGATTATAGTGTCCCCATAATCTAACAAACGAATCAAATTTTACTATCTCATCTTTGAATTCCACATATTTTTTCAATTTTGCCTGATTCACTACCCATTTTTATGCAAACATAATCTTAAGGGTTAAATATTATTTCAAAAAAATTTCTAAATATTCTCTCATTTGGCAAATATTTATTTCCTATATTTTTGTATTATGGATAAGCTTTGATCTATACTCATGCACATAAGATTTTATGTGAATTGTGAGCTAATTCTTCAGGATTGCTTTCCAAAGTGGATTTAATGGATCAAAGGAGTTTTAATGCTCTTGATAATATTGCCAAAATGCTTTCCAAAAATGTTGTACCAAGTTGCATGACTGCCAGCAATGCACCTCTCCACACCCTCTGCAGCAGAGACCCTGCAGATTGCTAAACTTAAGTGAACTTGACTAGCATCTCTTCTGGGCTTTCATCCTGAAACATATCTGGTCTTGCATTGTGTGTTGAGCAAGAGTGAAAGGAGGGAACAAACTTGAAGTATTTCTTCCCCTTGGGCTGCTTTCCACAGTCCATTTTTATGCAGTGGCATTGCCCAGAAATGGTTTCATTCAACACTACCCCCGTTTTAATGCATAAAGTCATGAGTTCCTCTGCTTTTTAATCCCCTTAATTCTTCTGATTTGCTAGCTGGTTGAAAACAAAAGGAATAAATAGCTGGCACACAGGAAGCAATGTGTGTTTCAAATGAAGCTTCTTCTTTGTAAAGCTAGGTGATTACAGGCTTGGCTCAACCTACCTTCATTCCAAATGGTTCCGTGCATGGCTGCAGTGGTGTCTGGTTCAATGACCACCTTGTCTGGGCTGCTGGTGAGAATCAAGCTTAGTTCTGAGCTGCTATTTCAGGCATTATTTAGAATTTGATAATCAAAGAATTGAAACAATGTGCAAATCAAAGACCTCTTTCCTTTAGAAAGCCAAGAGCTGATTTGCATTTTCTCCTGCCTCTTTCCTATTTCTAACGACTTGGAAAGTTGAAACATGCTCAGTGCTTTGAAAAAGAGGCATGGATCTTGAAAACATAGTGTAACCTGAGAGAAATAGGATAGCATGTATTTTAACCTTTCATCTCCTTTTTCTATTTTTTTTTAACCTTTGCTAAGAATCTTTGAAGACCTTACTAAAAATTTAAAGCAGGGATACAAGACACAGAACTTCCATTGAGGCTAGATCTATAGCAGTAACCAACAAACTTCAAGGCTTGGGTCACCACATGGAGTCATGCATCCAATCATTCATTCATTTATGCAGTAGCCATCTATTTTTCGTTATTTGTCATCACTATGCTAGTTATTAATGATTCAAGACTACAAACAGTACAATTCTTGTTCCCCAAAATGTCAAAGTCAAGGAAAAGACTGACCCATTTATAATTAACTCTAATATAGAACCTTCCAGCAGGACAAACAGCTTTGACTCCTGCCACTTGTGAAAAACATAATAAAAATCAAACAACATAAAAATGTCCAGCATATTACAAACCACCATTAGCATCTTAGCTATATATGTGCAATGCCAATTTTTGTGTATTTTATCAAAAATGGCCTTGAACTGTTATAGGACCACCAGGTTTGATGGCTTACAGCATGATAACAGACCAATACACTGAAACAGCAAGAGTTGCAGTAGAGAAATAGTTTAATAATCATAGGGCAACCAAAGAAGGGAACTGAAGGGAACCTCAAATCTGCTTCCCTGAGGGGTTTTGGATGGGCATATTTAAGGAAATTTTGGAGAATAGTGGGCTGAGGAATTGGGATCACTGATTGGTTAGGGCATGGGGAATGAAATGATAAGAATGTAGAACCTACATTCTTGTGCTGAGTCTGTTCCTACATGGGGTATTCAGCCCTACTGGCTTCAGTGGAACCACTGGAATGCAGAATCCAGAAGATTTCTCAAATGGAAAACTTGAGATTTCTTAATGTTAAAGATGTTATCTGTAAAAGCAATTAAGGGAAGTTAAGACCTTGTGACAGGGACTATGTGACTTTTAAGCAGTAAGCAGCTATTTTAAAAAGTGGGTTCATAGGGCAAGCTAGATAATGCTTAGCTATGGTTCTACTCAAAGCTCATGCTTTTGATAGAAACCCAGCAGTTTCTTTTTATTAATTTTATAAGGAATGTTTCACCATCTGCAGTAAATAATTTTTTTAATGAGCTTTTTTTCTTTTTTTTTTTCTTCTATGTTATTCCCAGGACAGACCATTAAAATTTTCTGAGTCCTCTTTTTTGGTAAATGTCACAAAAGTACCTAATACAGGTTTGTTTATTATGATGACTCTGAATATCAGGACATCATGACTCACAGATGGTGAAAGGTGTCATATCCCTTTGACTTACTCAGTTTGGGCATGGTCATATAAACACCTTGGCCTCATTTTTCTGTGTTAGAAATTAGGTTGTCAATTGTTGGCCTTGGAAACTGAGCAGCAGGAGCATCTCCAGCCATGGAGATTTTTCTTTCTGTGAGGGGTAGGGCTGGTATGGCCACAGTTCTCTCCTACTTACTGTTTTACTGGGTAACAACTTTTGAATAATTTTATTCCCTTGTTAGATCTTTGCTATGGCCCAAGAACTCTAGGAATATTTACAAAAATAAAGGATCTTTCTTACCTTTCAAAAATGATCCATGGTGCAGTTTGAAGAGTTGTGGCTAGAATGAGCTTCATGATGTCCCTTAACATTTTTATTCATCATAATATGTTCAAGGCTTAATGAGATCTGGCACATGGTAGATATATAATCAGTGTTTTAAAAATGAGTAATGAGGGTCAGGCACGGCTGTAATCTCAACACTTTGGGAGGCCAAGGTGGGCGGATCATGAGGTCAAGAGATCAAGACCATCCTGGCCAACATGGTGAAACCCTACCTGTACCAAAAATACAAAAATTAGCTGGGCCTGGTGGCACATGCCTGTAGTCCCAGCTACTTGGGAGTCTGAGGCAGGAGAACCGCTTGAACCTGGGAGGCTGAGGTTGCAGTGAGCCGAGATCATGCCACTGCATTCCAGCCTGGCGACAGGTGAGACTGTGTCTCAAAAAAAAAAAAAAAAAAAAAAAAAAGAACGAGTAATGATAAGATGTAGGCATACTTTTTCCTGATTAGCACAGACTTTTAAAAGTGCCCCATCCACTGCCTTGTGCAGTCCATCACATTGGTGGTACTTTCCATGTTGACACAAGGAGCTCACCAGGGAAAGCAGCTGCCCTCAAAAAAGCAAAGACTTTTTAAATATCTCACTCTCCTTGACCAAGGCCCTAATAAATATTTGGAATAATACATTCTCTTTTCACAGTGGCCTTTTGTTTTAGATAGTCCTGGTTTTTAGTGTCTTGGTAAAAATAAATTCTTTATATTTTTAAATGATAAAAAAAAACTAGAATCATCATGGAATAAACATTTCCAGGCATGTTGATCTATCTGTTCTTGACAAAACCAAGGTCTTTCTTGACTTTGAGACTTATCTTTATATTTCTCTCCATTTGGAATATGTCCCTTTTTTATTAATGTGGTTGGCTCCTGCTGTTCATGCAAGTCTCTACTCAACTGTAATGTCTTCCCAGAAAGTAACTATTTAATCAGGTATCCACCCAATTTATAGCCCAATCATTTCCCAAATCTGTATCGTTAATGTGAATTATTCATATAAGTCACCTCTTTCATTTATTGCTAAATTCCCAGTCCCTGGCACAGTACATGACAAATAGCAGAAAACAATAATTATTTAACAAATCAATGAATGAATGAATAATTTAAAATATACATTAGATGACTTAAATATCTCTTTCTACTTTTAGATTTCTTGACAACCTGGTGTACCAGGTACTACCATTTGACTTTTCTACTTAAAAATGTCACAGTGTGTGGACATCAACATTTATGGACTTTATGTGAAAGCCAAAAGGTAGTGGCCTGTGATAATCAAAAGGAGATTGCTTACTTATAGGCTGGGAACCAGAGAAGGAACATGAATTGCTGCCCATTTTACCAAATCTGAGAAAGATGATTGGTGAAAAATTGCCCTCATTCAGAAGACTGCACTGATCAGCAAGATTTACTGACTGCCGTTAGGAGTCTGAAGTGGAAATTCTTACAAACAATAACAGATTGATAATGAAATATTGATCGGGGATGCACATTGCAGAGCAATTTTGTCCATTTCCTTATGGAAGCTCAAGCCTTCACAGGCTTCAGGGAGGTCCCTGGCTGGCATCTTCAGCCCTAGCATTTCCTTCTTTAGAGGTTGATTATGATGCTTATTTTGTGCTGGCCAGAAGGTATGACTATTTCTAATTTTCTTGAGGCCTTTAGGACATCTCTTTTTTTCCTCCACTTTCTCATCCTCTTTTCTTATATAGGCTTTGAAAATGAAATAGCGTGGCTTAGAAAAACCTTGTGCAGAGCAAACTTTGAAATCAATCAATCAGGCTGGCCCAGCAGCAGTGGCTGTAGTTCAGGGATGACTCTGCCAGACAGCTCAGCCATTACTTACATCTGAGATAAATTCCTCTGCTTCCTCTCCCACTCCATGCCTATCCAAACATTGGACAGATGGAGTATGTTTGCACAATGTCAGATGGTACTGCCTTTTGGCTAGAGTGCTAATCAGAAAGCCCTGGTGTTGCAAATCCTGCTTCTTTTTTTTTCTTTCTTAGAACTGATAATTCACAGGCATCAGAAATAGATGCTATCAATAACCATCTTCTTCACTTTTTTTTCAGTCTTTTGCCTCTGTTGACACCTGGAAAATTTGTCATCTAAGAATAATGAGATGCATTCTTAGGAGTCAGTGCAAGATGTAATAAAGTATTCTGGTCTTAGAGTCACAAAATGTGCTATTGGAACCTGATTTTGTCTCTTGTTAGCTTAAAAACCTCTCCTAGCATAATAGAAAGAGCAAGGATTGGGGTCTTATAGTCCTGGTTTTAAATAGTACTGGTACTTACTAACTGAGATAAATTTCCTATCTCTGAGATAATTTTCTAGACTTAAAAATAAAGTTATAATTTCCACATAGAAATATTTCTTTAAAAAAATTAGATTCCAGTGGAATATTATTTGAGGACTTTCACTGTGTCTCAATTTTCTAATCTGTAAAAGAGGGAACAGTGGTTGACTACAACCTTCCACATCCTACCTGAAAGGAGAAGTCACTTTCCTACTCCACAGAACCACCTATTAGAACACAAGCCTGTGCTATGCCCTAAGAAGCTATACCCACACAAAGGATAGTGATTGTCTTCACCAGGTGGTTTTTAAAACTGAGAAATTAGCCATGTTTCAAGCTATTATTTATGTAGACAAAGAGTGTCAAACTGGTGAAATGAACCAGCCATATGAACAAAGTTGAAAACCAACTATAAATTAAACTGGAGCTCTTCCTGAATTGAGAAAATCTAAATATATGACTCATAGGGCTGCATCTCCACAAAGCTCAGAAAGGAATGGTTTTGGAGGCAAAGTGGATAGTGCAAAAGGCAGGACTGACAGGGAGATGGAATCTGAAACGCTTAATGGGGATGAGAGTAGCTCACCAAAAATGTGTAGCAGCACCCACCATTAAATGAACGTGGTGTTAGAGCTAAGCTAATCCTTACTTGCTCTGTTTGAAAAATGCATTCTCCCAATTCCCTGAAGTCTATAGGGTCATATCATAAGCATACTGTTATAATTACTCTTTATGTTCTTACTAAGATTGCCCCCCCCCAAAGCTTTGACATTTCTGTCTAAAAATTGCATTTTTAGCTCATTTCGGGTAACATGCAATAGGTCACAACAGACCAATGTTTCTACTGCAATGACCAAGGGGAAAAAAGATAAATTGCAAGACATATTTTAAAATGCATTGGAGAGCTATTGAAGCAACAGAAATTAGATCAACTAAAATTCAAGAAAGGGAAGAGTTCTGTTTTGGTGAGCAGATCACCAAATGTTTACCTCCCCAGGGTCATTTTCTGATTCTGTGTATAAGCCAGATCATGATAAACAGATGCTACTGGGAGGAAAGAAACTAGTGGGAATCATGGTGGTTGTATGGCACTGGTTTAATGGATTGAAAGCCAGAAGGGTCCCAAAACATGGTCAGTTTTTCTCATGGGTAAGTCATTGAATTTTGGTGGGAAGGGATACTAGAAATATCATCTGTCTTCTAAAAGACAGAATGAAATCACCCACATAATAAAAAAGGCGTACAATATTATGTCTTCTAAGATGAAGAAGATATTATAAGATTGTGGCTGCCTAGGTAAGTTACACAAACACATGGTCCCCACCTCAAGATATTTGCTAATTTAACAACTGTGAGATGCCAGTCCAGATGAAAGTGTAGGAAAACAGACTCAATTTCTTGAAAAAAGAAACTTCAGATTTGCATTGCAAAGGATATAAATGCATGGAACAGTGGCAACTTGAGACCATGTTTGCATTCAATCTACCACAGATCAGTTTAACATCTGGATACAATAGAAGACAGCATCAGTGAACATGAAGGCAGACCAATTGAAAATATTAAAAGTGTAGTAGAGATAGAAGAAAACATAGGTGAAATGCTTCAGGACACTGGTCTGGAAAAATATTTTATAACTAAAACCTCAAAAGCACAGGCAACAAAAGCAAAAATAAACAAAAGGGATTATGTTAAACTACAAAGCTTCTACACAGAAATGGAGACTATCAACAGAGTGAAAAGCTAACCTACAGAGTCGCAGAAAATATTTGCAAACTACTCATCTGACTGAGAATTAATATGCAGAATGTACCAGGAGCTCAAACATCAAAACAGCAAGAAAACAAAGAATCTGATTTAAATATAGGCAAATGATCTGAACAGACATTTCCCAAAAGAAGACATATAAATGGCTAACAAATATATGAAAAAATTCTTAACATTACTAATCATCAGAGAAATGCAAATTAAAACCCAAATGAAGTATCATCTCATCCCAGTAAGGATGGCTACTATAAGAAAGACAAAAAAATAACAAATGCTGGCAAGGATGCAGGGGAAAGGAAACTCTTATTTACATTGGTGGGGATGTAAACTAAAACTAGTACAGCTACTATGAAGAACATGATAGAAGTTCTTCAATAAAGTATTAATAAAAGTACTGCATGATCCAGTAATCCCATTACTAAGAATTTATCCAGAGGAAAGGAAATCAGTATATCAAAGAGACATCTGCACCCTTATATTCAATGCAGCATTATTCATAATAGTCATGATTTGGAATCAATCTAAGTGTACAACAGATGAATGGATTTTAAATTGTGGTATATACACATAGTGGAAGACTATTCAGCCATAATAAAGATGGAAGCCCTGTCATTTGCAGCAACATGAATGGAACCGGAGGACATTAAGTGAGGTAAACCAGGGACAGAAAGTTGAACACCACATGTTCTCATTCATATGTGGAAGCTAAAAAATGGTTGATTTCATAAAAGTAAAAAGTAGAACAGAGGATAATAGCGGCTGGGAAGGGGAAAGGGAAGGGAGGGATAGGGAGAGACTTGTTCAAACCCAAGACTTAGTTACGAAAAAAGCTGTCACCTGAGGTATGCAATACTATGTAGTGAACCATAGTGTCCTAACACCATTCTGTAGTATAAAATTAGTTACTGAGTTTATAATCTCTGAATCTCCTGGCATTGGTGTGGTATATAGAAGAGTCACTTTGCATTTCTATCGATATGAGATTTTGAGATTATATCACAGGATAAATACTGCTCAAGTAATTACATCTTGAAGGGAGTCACTTCTTAATTGAGGACACTTCTGATATTTTTTTGCTTAGGAGTTTAGAATTCATTCTAATGAGGTTTGGTCTATTGGACAGCATATTAAGTTAAAAGTTCCTAGCTCAATAATCAATTTGATGCATGGTGATCAGCATACTGGTTACATTTCTCAGTCCTCAGTGTCCTCACCTGTAAAAAAGGAATAATGACATCTACCTTTTCACCCTTCAAAATTGATATAAGGAGCAAACGTGATAATATATTAAAATAATTTGAAAAGAAAAACAAAGCGCAGTACAGAAAAAAATGATTAAAAAAAAGAACAGACTAGAAGACATATGTGGGACACACTGAAACGGTCTGACTGTGTATTTTAGAGTCTCAGAAGGGGAAGAAAGAGAGCAGAATAATATTTAAGCAGACAATTATTAATAATTTTTTAATTATGAAAGTTATACTTATTCTCAAAAAAACAACAAATATCAAGCAGAATAAAGGTAAAGAACATCATATCAAATAATTTTATTGTCAAACTGCTGAACACCAAAGGCAAAGAGAAAGTGCCTTTGTGTACACTAGCAATGAACTAGTTATAACATATACATATATTTTATTTTACTTTAAGTTCTGGGATACACGTGCAGAACGTGTACGTTTGTTACGTAGGTATCCACGTGCCATGGTGGTTTGCTGCACCTATCAGCCTATCATCTAGGTTTTAAGCTCCGCACCCTCATGCATTAGGTATTTGTCCTAATGCTCTCCCTCCCCTTTCCTCCCACCCCTGAGAGGCCCCGGCGTGTGATGTTCCCCTTCCTGTGTCCATGTGTTCTCATTGTTCAACTCCCACTTATGAGTGAGAACATGAGAGGTGTTTGGTTTTCTGTAGGACATATTTTAATACCATTTACTATAGCATCAAATTTTAAATATCTAGAAGTAAATCCAACAAAATATGGGCAAGATATTTAAATTAACATTTAAAAATATTGCTGTGATAAATTAAAAAGGCAAAGAGATAAATTGTTTTTATGGATTGGAAGCCTAAATGTTGTTAAGATTTCTATTTTCCCCAAATAGATCTCTAAAATTAATACAATTCCAATCAATATCTCAGACCATATATGCATGGAGGTGTATAAATTGACAAGTTAATTCTAAAGGTATATAAAAATGTAAACGACGTAGGATAAATGGACAATTGTAAAGAAGAAAACAAAGCTTATGGACTGAGACTGTCAAATACTACTGAAATACTGTAACTATTAACACAGTGATGTATTAGTGCAAATAAAGACAAATCTCCCAATGGAACAGAAAGTCTAGAAGCAGACTCACACATATTCAGTCACCTGCTTTGCAGTAGATGTACCAGTGCAATTTTGTGAATAAATGGTGGTCTTTTCCATAAATAATAGGGAGCAGTTAGACTCCATATTGGACAACTAATAAGAAAAAAATAATGAAACTTGACCACTACATTATACAATAGAGAAATTTTATAATCAACTGTTCAAGATAAATTATAGACCTAAATATTGAAGAAAGCATAGAAGATTCTTTGTGTGTCAAGTAGAGAAATTTTCTTAAACACAGCAGAAAAAGCACTAACCTTAAGCCAATAATTGATTAATTGCACTTCAATAATATTAAAAACTTCGAATTATCCAAATACACCATTAAAAATTTAAAAAGGCAAGCCATAAACTGGATGAAGATATTTCCAGTACATATATTCCACAAAAGACTAGAATAAAGAATATAATAACAAGATAAAATGCCCATTTAAAAAAATGGACAAAATAATTTAATGGGCAATTAACAAAATAAAGTATTCAAATGGTCAATGAGCATATATAGAGGAGTTCAAACCATCAGCCTTTAAGGAAATGCAAATCAAAACTACATTGCAAGCCAGGTTTGGTGGCTCACACCTCTAATCCCAGCACTTTGAGAGGCTATGGCAGGAGGATTGCTTGAGCCCAGAAGTTCAAAACCAGCCTGGGCAACATAAGTGAGACCTCATCTCTGTATTAAAAAAAAAAATTAGCTGGGTATGTTGATGCATGCTTGTACTCCCAGCTACTCAGGAGGCTGAGATAGGAGGATCACTTGAGCCCAGGTTGTCGAGGCTGCACTGAGCTATGCTTGCACCACTGCACTCCGGTCTGGGTGACAGAGTGAGAAACTGTCTCAAAAAAAAATAAAAATAAAAACAAAACTACAATGCAGAAAGCTGGGCACCATGGTGTGTACATGTAGTTCCAGCCACTCTGGAGGCTGAGGCAGGAAGATTGTTTGAGCCCAGGAGTTCCAGCGTGTCAGTGCATTATGAGCACAATGATCATGCCTGTGAATAAACCCTGCACTCCAGCCTGGGTAATATAATGAGACCCAGTTTATAAAAAAATAAAAATAAAAAACCTACGATGCAAAATGAAAATACATATTGAAAAGGATGTGGTTAAATGTAAAATGGTTAAAATACTTTGGAAAACTATTAGGCAGTATCTACTCAAGTCAAACAGTAGCTTAAACTATGATCATTAATTTTACTTTTAGGCATATTCCCAAGAACCAGTGAGTGCATAAGCCCACCAAAACATACATTTAAGAATGTCCATAACAACTTGATTTGTAATAGCCCAAAACTAGAAACAACTTACATGCCCATCAACAGGAAGATGGAAAAACAAATTATGTTTTAATCATTCAGTGGAATGTTACCTATTCAGCAATAATAGAAAGAGTTTATTGATACATACAATAACATAGATACATTTCACAGAGATAGTGATGAATGAAAAAAGACAGACACAACAGAGTACATATTGCATGATTCTATTAATGTAATAACAGGTAAAATAAATGTGTGATGATAGAAATAAAAAATTGGTTACTTCATAGCAGAGGACAGTTATTGACTCTGAAGCAGCACTGAAAACCTGGGTGCTGGGGATGATCTTATTTTTATTTGGGTTGTTGGTTACATAATTACATTTATATGTAAACATTTACTGAGCTGTATGCTAAAATCTGTGAACTTTGTGTTTGCGTATTATACCTCAATAAAAATAATAACTAAATGCAATAACAGTGGCATTTTAAATTAGTTCAAACATGCATGATCAGAATTGGTCCTTAGGGCTTTCTCTGTGATATCCCAAAGCAACCAATCAGAACAGCCTAGGCAGAAGAATCAGTCTGTCCCTTTGCCTGAGATAGAATAAATCAAAGAAGCATACACAATGTGAACAACAATGACCAAGAGAAAAAATGATTTTTGTAGCAGTTCCTCTGAAAATGAGAGGATTGAACAAATTCATTCAGCAGCAGGATGGGTCTCAATCAATACTGTATGATCAAATACTGTATAAGTTCAGGTCTTTTCCAAGAAGCCAGCTTCAACTGGTCAAAGACAGTCTCTGTAGATTTGCAGTATGACATGAAGTGTCATTGTTTAGGGATGCTGTAGAAAGCTGATTTTAATATTTGATGCAATACTGAAAAATATTACGTTAAATTTTAGGAAGTATTTTAAATACTGAAAAATAAACCTTTTTATATGTGGAATTAGCACTGACATGGGCATATGAAGATCTATTGTCTAAATTTCACTCTCATATTCAAGGCAACCTAATTTTTTTTAACTATTTACAGCTTCTTTGAGCCTAAGACTGTTCTCCCATCAAATACAAAAGTAACTTTTTTCCTTCTTTATTTTTTATTTTCTAAATAGAATAACTACTTTTTTCCAAATGATTTCCTAATAAAATATAAATTAAGGTGTTTTGGTTGATGCTTAGGTGGCATTATGGCCTAAGCATTGCCCTTCGGCCTCCAATTTTGTCTTTTGTGGTCCCCTAAGATTCAAGGAAAACAGCTGGAAAACAACTGGAAGTTGATAATTCCCAGCTCTAGTGTTGAAAGATGAAAGGGAAATCTCAAAAGCCTTGCCAAGATAGGCTCACTTATCACTTTGAATTTTAGTCAGTAATTCTGTTTCAGCCACTGTGCTCAGAAGAGGCAATATTATTCTTTTTCATGTTCATAGAGATTCCTGGTTGCAGTGTGCTACTACCCTAAGCTTCACAGGAGGCACTGCACAGAAAGAGAAAGCCAATAATAGAAGACGGAAATTGGTCTTAGAAGTCTTCCATTTTCCTACCTTTCCACTTCCTTATGCCCTCTCCTCTAAAATTTTATGCACTACTTCCTCATGGTTCCCTTGAGACCCCAATTACAGCTCTCTCCATTGTTCAATTCCCTCTCAGGAACCTAATTACTTTTCTGCTAACAGGACTTTGCCAGCAATATTGACACTGATACCAGCTATAAGAAGTATAGTGGAAGAAACTGTGGAGGCAGGCATCCTGGGTCTTGGCTTTGCAATCTGGTCTTGGCAAATCCAATAGATTTTTCTGAGCCACTTTTTTTTTTTTCATTTTCAAAACAGGGTCTTGCTCTGTTGCCCAGGCTGAAGTACAGTGGCACAATCACCACTTGACCTACAGCTCACTACAGCCTTGACCTCCCAGACCCAAGCACTTCTTCTGGGTTCAAGCAGTCCTCCCACCTCAACCTCCCAAAGTGCTGGGGTTACAGGCATGAGCCACCATGCCCAGCCTTTAGAGCCATTTCCATCATTTGTAAAATGTGAATAATAAACCCCTTGTAGAATGCTTCATGGAATAAAGTTAGTATACATGACATATTTAATATCATGCCTGGTATATAGCATGTGTTTAAAAAATGATATCCATAATGATTGAATCACAGGCCTCAACTGATTACAATTAAGAAATACCAAGTTGTGCAGTTGGTTTGTCTTAACCTTTCCGTGGTACTTTTATGTTAGAGGAAATCGTGAAACTTCCCAATCATAGTTTTACAACAGTATAGTAAAATCATTTCATGGGGGCTGGGGGTGTACCAATAGACCCCTTAACCTTAAGAACACCTTAGTTTTGGGTTTTTTTTAGGGGAGGAAACTCATAAATACCAGATTGGCATCAGGCAGCTTTACCAAAAGCTCCCATGGAAAATATGACTATGGAAGTCAATTTCATGTGTACCTCTTACCTCTGTGATTCCCCTCGATCTTTCTTTTTACTTTATTTTATTTTTCCATAAGTTATTGGGATACAGGTGGTATTTGGTTACATGAGTAAGTTCTTTAGTGGTGATCTGTGAGATTTTGGTGCATCCATCACCCCAGTATTATACACTGTATCATATTTGTAGTCTTTTATCCCTCACTCCCCTCCCATTCTTCCCCTCAAGTCCCCAGACTCCATTGTATCATTCTTATGCCTTTGCATCCTCATAGCTTAGCTCCTACGTACCAGTGAGAACATACAATGTTTGGTTTTCCATTCCTGAGTTATTTCACTTAGAATAATAGTCTCCAATCTCATCCAGGTCAGTACAAATGCTGTCGATTCATTCCTTTTTATGGCTGAGTAGTAGTCCATCATATATGCATACCACAGTTTCTTTATCCACTCATCGATTGATGGGCATTTAGGTTAGTTCCACAATTTTGCAATTGTGAATTGTGCTGCTGTAAACGTGCATGTGCAAGTATCTTTTTCAAATAATGACTTCTTTTCCTCTGGGTAGATACCCAGCAGTGGATTGCTGGATCAAATGGTAGTTCTACTTTTAATTATCCACACTGCTTTCCATAGTGGCTGTACTAGTTTACATTCCCACTAGCAGTGTAAAAGTGTTCCCTGTTCACCGCATCCACGCCATCTACTGTTTTTTGATTTTTTTTTATTATGGCCATTCTTGCAGGAGTAAGGTGGTATTGCATTGTGGTTTTGATTTGCATTTCCCTGATCATTAGTGATGCTGAGCATTTTTTCATATATTTATTGGCCATTTGTATATCTTCCTATGAATATTGTCTATTCAATTTTCTACACTACTCTATTTCCAGAATACTATAAATGGGGCATAATTGAAAGACTGAGGGTCATGAAATCCTTAGCTCACTTTCTGATGGGATTGTTTGCTTTTTTCTTACTGATTTGTTTGAGTTCGCTGTAGAGTCTGGATATCAGTCCCTTGTCAGATGTATAGATTGTAAGGATTTTCTCCCACTCTGTGGGTTGTCTGTTTACTCTGCTGACTGTTCCTTTTGCCATGCAAAAGTTCTTTAGTTTAATTTTGTCCCAGCTATTTATCTTTGTTTTTATTGCATTTTCTTTTGGGTTCTTGGTCATGAAATCCAGACTGGTGGAATGGAATAAAGAACCCAGAAATAAACCTAAATACTTAGAGCTGGCTGATCTTTGACAAAACAAACAAAAACATAAAGTGAGGAAAGGACACCTTTTTCAACAGATGGTGCTGGGTTAATTGGCTAGCCACATGTAGGAGAATGGAACTGGATCCTCATCTCTCACCTTATACAAAAATCAACTCAAGGTGGATTAAAGACTTAAACCTAAGATCTGAAACTATAAAAATTCTAGAAGATAAAATTGGAAAAACCCTTCTAGACATTGGCTTAGGCAAGGATTTCATGATAATCTTTCAATTATGCCCCATTTATAGTATTCTGGAAACAGAGTAGTGCAGATTCTTCTTGGCTGCTGAATTTTTCTTCAAGCATTCTTGGAATCTATTACCAATTCCTGTTCTTTAGAACCCAGTAAGGGGAAAGTGGCTCAATGCAGACTATATTTTCTTGACCTCATCTTTTCTCTGCCATTAAGGTGAACTAAAGGAAGCAACACAATTTCATGTTTAGTCACCACAGAGTCAGACAAGCTCTCTGCAGTGAGAAACTGGACAAGTTAACCAATCATGATTAGCCTGTTTCTATATGGAGATGATAATGTTGTTTGCTTTCTGCCTAGGGTTATTGTGAAAATTAAATGAATTAGTTACTCAGCACATGGTAGTATTACTCATCAACTGTAGTTCTTAATCTTACAAGAGAGAGAACTGGCCTCAGATCTGGATGTATGGGATATACTCTTGACTTTTTTCACTAAGGTTTCTTAGCCTTTTTCTTTTTGATTTGTCTGCTAAGATCCTTTCTTAATTCTAAGAGTTTAAGAGTTCCTCAAAACCAAAGAAGCCTCCATGTTACAGAAGAATTCTACTCTGTGGAAGACAGAGTTTCCAAAAGCAAGGCCCTGATTAGCCAGTTTACTCATCAACAAATATATCTTTGATATCTACTATGTAAATATGACCTGAGTATCTAAATTACTAACCTAGAAAATTGTGATGCTTGATGAAGTAGAGGAGGTAAAGATTGCTTCTGGAGAAGAAATGGGGCTCCAACTAGAAAATTAAAAAACATCCTATAAGGATATGTAAATGAAAGAATCATGTGAGGAAGTTGAAAACTTAAAATGAAAAACAACCAAGTTGCATTTAGTGCTACTGATAAAAACCTTCAGATAAGTTAGAGACAATGTAGGTAATCTTTAAGAACACAGGAAGAATGTGAGAAATGCTAAAAGACTAAAGAAATCGGTAACAAGGGTCCAGCTTGGTGGCTCATGCCTGTAATCCCAGCATTTTGGGAGGCTGAGGAGGGTGGATCACCGAGGTCAGGGGTTTGAGACTAGCTTGGCCCACATGGCGAAACCTCATCTCTACTAAAAGTACAACAACAACAACAACAACAAAATTAGCCGGGCGTGGTGGTGGGCACATGTAATCCCAGCTACTACAGAGGCTGAGGCAGAAGAATCACTTGAATCTGGGAGGTGGAGGTTGCAGTGAGCTGAGATTGCATCACTGCACACCAGCCTGGATGACAGAGCAAGGCTGTGTCCAGAGAGAAAGAAAGTGAGAGAGAGAGAGTGAGAAGAAAACTAGCGTTCAGTAAGAAGTTACAGCATAGCAGGCATTTCCATATTCTTGATCTCAGAACAATCCTTTTTATAGGAGGAGGAATCTCTGAGGCTAAGTGATTTTCCAAAAGGAATATAGCTAGTAAATGGTTATGCTAGAATTTTAACTCAGGTCTGCCTACTTATAAAACTCAAGTTTTAATTAATATCTTATTCTTACATTTACATGATCCTTCATTTATTCATTCATTCATTCGACCATACCAGGAAATGGGGTTCCAGCGGCAACCTAAGTAGGCACCAGCCAACCCTATTGAAGCTTACTGTTTTGTAGAAGAGAGAGCCAAAATCAAATAAACAAATATATGTCATTATTAATTATGGTATATTCTATAAAGGAAACCAGTAGGATGTTTGGAGAAAGAATGAAAAGATATTGTAAATGGGGCTTACTTTAGACAGAGGGATCAGATGTGTCATCTTCGAGGAGGTGAGATCAACGCTGAAAGCTGAAGGATAAAAATGAATCAGTCCTGCAATGATCAGGGAGAAGAACATGAATATTCTACTTCTTCAGCAAAAACAGGTAAGGCAATGTCCACCATGTCAAAATTCTGCAGGCTGTTATGATGCAGGTAGCTTGGGGACATTGAAAACAAGATTACATAAAACAACACAGGTGACTAGGTAGATCGTTGTGTCAAATTTAGTCAAGGTTTCCTTCTTTCCTTCCTTCCTTCCTTCCTTCCTTCCTTCCTTCTTTCCTTTTTTCCTTCTTCCTTTCCTTTCCTTTCCTTTCCTTCCTTCCTTTTTTCCTTCTTCCTTTCCTTTCCTTTCCTTTCCTTCCTTCCTTTTTTCCTTCTTCCTTTCCTTTCCTTTCCTTCCTTCCTTTTTTCCTTCTTCCTTTCCTTTCCTTTCCTTTCCTTCCTTCCTTTTCTCCTTCTTCCTTTCCTTCCTTCCTTTTTTCCTTCTTCCTTTCCTTTCCTTCCTCTCCTTTCCTTTCCTTTCCTTTCCTTTCCTTCCTTCCTTTTTTCCTTCTTCCTTTCCTTTCCTTTCCTTTCCTTCCTTCCTTTTCTCCTTCTTCCTTTCCTTCCTTCCTTTTTTCCTTCTTCCTTTCCTTTCCTTTCCTTTCCTTTCCTTCCTTCCTTTTTTCCTTCTTCCTTTCCTTTCCTTTCCTTTCCTTCCTTCCTTTTCTCCTTCTTCCTTTCCTTCCTTCCTTTTTTCCTTCTTCCTTTCCTTTCCTTTCCTTTCCTTCCTTCCTTTTCTCCTTCTTCCTTTCCTTCCTTCCTTTTTTCCTTCTTCCTTTCCTTTCCTTCCTCTCCTTTCCTTTCATTTCCTTTCCTTCTCTTTCTTTTTCCCTCCATCTCTCTTTCTTCCTTCCATCCCTTCCTTCCTCCAACTATCTTTCTTTCTTTTCTTTTTGTTTATTTTTCCTTTCTTTCAGTTTAGTTACTTAGTTAATAAAATAGTGCTAAAGCTATTTTATCTCAGCTTCATGAATGGATTGGACATAATCTCTCATGACATACAAAAACATGCTGAATTAAGACTAAGATATTACATTATTTATGTGAAAATAAAATTGGTTCTATATCCATCCTATGATGCATTGGTGGTTCTGAACATGGAGAAAACGTTTTCTGGAGGACAGCTGTGGGGGCTCAACCTTCAGTCCTGTTTTGGTGAACATCTTCATGTAAGAGTTTAATAGAAGCACATACAATGTGTTTAACAAATTACTGTTGGATGGCTAGATTACAGTGGTGACCAAAACAGAATTGAAAATGCCTTAAGGTTGTTACACTCTATGTAAACCAAAATAGAATGAAACAAAATGAAAAATATGAGAATTCTACATTTACATTAAAATATTAGATTTTATAAATACAGGTGTGAGGAGATGGTCCCAAAGCATAGGTAGGGGAGTTCTCAATATCAAAGTTGTCAGAAGCTTAAATAAGTCTGCAGTGTCATAGGTTACTAAATGCAGCCTTGACAGTTGACACTATGGAGACATCTGTGATGTGCACTGGTCAGAGCCCACCTACTCCATTTTTTCCAGTTCTGAGCCCCAACATTTAAGAGCAATATGGAAAAAGTAGAATTGGTCCAGAGGAAGGTTTGTGTGCCCCCAGCCATCCAATTATGTTTATGCTATTTCTGCTTAGGGCATTTTTATCTCTACTCCTTTTAATTGTAAGGTTCTGCCTTATACATTTGGTAGTTTTGGAATCTACCCTTTTGGGTGGATTCCTTTTGGAATTTATATTTAAACATAAATGAGGCTTCCTCAGAGCACTCTTCTAACAACATTATCAAAATTAACCACCTGACTTCCCATTCCCCATCACCCCCTATTATCCCTATTATCTTACCCTATTTTACTTCCTTCCGGTGTGTTTTTTTTTTTTTTTTTTTTTTTAGACAGAGTCTCGCTTTGTCACCTAGGCTGGAGTGCAATGGCATGATCTCGGCTCACTGCAACCTCTGCCTCCCGGGTTCAAGCGATTCTCCTGCCTCAGCCTCCTGAGTAGCTGGAATTACAGGTGCATGCCATCATGCCAGGCTGATTTTTTTGTATTTTTAGTAGAGATGGGGTTTCACCACATTGTTTAGGCTGGTCTTCATTTTACATTTCTCTCTCTGAAATTATCTTATTTACCTATTTGTTTAGGTGTTAGAAGTGGAAGAATTTCTAATTTCCACTAAAAATTGAAGGATGAGAGCAGGGTTTTGGTTCTCTTGCCTCTCCCATGCGACCCCATAGAAGCACTAAAAAAAATTGTTTGAAAATGAATCATGTAAAGAATGAATGAAGGAAGCTGCTACATTTACAGCAGACTAAAGGGCTATAGCAGAGTTTCCTGCAGATGTGTGAAGAACCATCCTGGAACACATCAAGGGAACTGTGGTATAAGACTTACTCCAGACATAAGAGTAATCCTTACACTTAGGATTAGCAAGTGGAATTTAAGGAGTCTCAATTTGGCTCAAAATAAGCAGGAGCTTTTTGCTAATTTGGCCAGTCTGACAATAGTACAAATAGCACAAAGTCGTAATAGAGTTGTACTGAAAGCAAATAACCAAACAATGCATAATTGTGAATTGGAGAAATTATACAACACAGCCTTTATAAATAGAAAGCTGAACTAAATAAAGGCTAAAGTCATCTACATCTGAAGAACCTCTCCATGCATAGTACCTAATATGGTTTAGATATATCGCCACCCAAATCTCTTGTGGAATTGTAGGTCCCATAATCCCCATGTGTCATGGGAGGGACCTAGTGGGAGGTAACTGAGTCGGGGGCTGGGTTTTTCCCAGGCTGTTATCATGATAGTGAATACGTATCATGAGATATGATAGTTTTATAAAGCATAGTTCCCCTGCACACACTGTCTTGCCTGCCTCCACGTAAGATGTGACTTTTCTCCTCCTTCGCCTTCTGCCATAATTGTGAGTCCACATGGAACTGTGAGTCCATTAAACCTTTTTTTCTTTATGAATTACCCAATCTTGGGTATTTCTTCATATCAGTGTGAAAATGGACTAATACAGTAAATTGTTACTGGGAGTGTGGTACCACTATAAGGATATTCAAAAATGTGGAAGCAACTTTGTAACAGGCAGAGATTGAAACAGTTTGGAGGGTTCAGAAGACAGGAAAATGTGAGAAAGTTTGGAACTTCCTAGAGAGTTGTTGAATGGCTTTGGCCAAAATGCTTATAGTGACATGGACAATAAAGTCCAGGCTGAGATGGTCTCAGATAGAGATGAAGGACTTATTGGGAACTGGAGTAAAGTAAAGACTGGGAGCATTTTGCCCCTGCCCTATAGATCTGTGAAATTTGAACTTGAGAGAGATGATTTAGGGTGTCTGGCAGAAGGAATTTCTAAGTGGCAAAGTATCCAAGAGGAAGCAGAGCATAAAAGTTTGGAAAATCTGCAGCCTGACAATGTGATAGAAAAGTTAACCACATTTCTGGGGAGAAATTCAACCTGGCTGCAAAAATTTACATAAGTAACAAGGAGCTGAATGTTAGTCACCAAGAAAATGGGGAAAATGTCTCCAGGGCATGTCAGAGACCTTCACAACAGCCTCTCCCATCACAGACCCAGAGGCCTAGGAGGAAAGACTGGCTTCATGGAACAGGGTCTAGGGCTCTCCTGCTGTATGCAGCCTAGGGACTTGGTGCCCTGCTTCCCAGCTGCTCCAGCCATGGCTGAAATGGGCCAAAGTACAACTCAGGCAGTGGCTTCAGAGGGTGCAAGCCCCAAGCCTTGGCAGCTTCCATGGGGTGTTGAGCCTGCATGTGCACAGAAGTCAAGAATTGAGGTTTGGGAACCTCCATCTAGATTTCAGAGGATGTACGGAAATGCCTGGATGTTCAGGCAGAAGTTTGCTTCAGGGGTGTGGTCCTCATGGAGAACCTGTGCTAGGGCAGTGCAGAAGGGAAATGTGGAGCTGGAGCCCCCACACAGTCCCCACTGGGACACTGCCTAGTGGAACTGTGAGAAAAGGGACACTGTTCTCCAGACCCCCGAATGGCAGATCCACTGACAGCTTGGACTGTGCACCTGGAAAAGCCACAGGCACTCAATGCTAGCTGTGAAAGCAGTTGGGAGGGGTGCTATACCCTGCAAAGCCATAGAGGTGGAGCTGCCCAAGGCCATGGGAGCCTACTTCTTGCATCAGTGTGCCCTGGATATGAGACATGGAGTCAAAGGAGATCATTTTGGAACTTTAAGGTTTAATGACTGCCCTATTGGACTTTGGACTTGCATGGAGACTGTGGCCCCTTTGTTTTTGCCAGTTTCTCCCATTTTGAAAAGGTGTATTTACCCAATGCCCGTACCCTCATTGTATCTAGGAAATAACTAACTTGTTTTTGATTTTACAGGCTCCTAGGTGGAAGAGACTTGCCTTGTCTCAGATAAGACTTTGGACTTGGACTTTTGAGTTAATGCTGGAATGAGTTAAGACTTTGGGGGACTGTTGGAAGGGCATAGTTATGTTTTGAATTGTGAGAACATTAGATTTGGGAGGGGCTGGGGCAGAATGATATGGTTGGGTTGTGTCTCCATCCAAATCTCATCTTGAATTGTAGCTTCCATAATCCCCATGTGTCATCGGAGGGACCCACTGGGAGGGAATTGAATCATGGGGGTGGTTTTATCCCATGCTATTCTCATGATAATGAATATACCTCAAGAGATCTGATGATTTTATAAAGGGCAGTTCTCCTGCACACACTCTCTTGCCTGCTGCCACGCAAGACGTGACTTTGCTCCTCCTTTGCCTTCCACCATGATTGTGAGGCCTCCCTAGCCACGTGGAACCTGCGAGTCCATTAAATCTCTTTTTCTTTATAAATTACCCAGTCTCAGGTATTTCTTCATAGCAGTATGAAAATAAACTAATACAGTAAGTACCAATAAAGATCCAGGCTGGGCATGGTGGCTCCTGCCTATAATCATAACATTTTGGGAGGCTAACAAGGCAGAATCACTTGAGGCCAGGAGTTTCAGAACAGCCTGGGCAACACAGTGAGGCCCTGTCACTTCAAAAAAAATTTTTAAAAATTATCTAGGAGTGGTAGTGCACACCTGTAGTCCCAGCTACTTGGGAGGCTGAGGTGGCAGTATCGCCTGAGCCCAGGAGGTCTAGATTACAGTGTGGTATGATGCTGCCATTGCATTCCAGCATAGATTCCAGAAAGGGACCTCATCTCTAAAAGTAATAAAAATAAAAATATCTGAAGAAGTTTTTGCTTTGTTCTGCCATTACACCAAGGAGGAACTCAAACTGCAAAGATAACTACCAGAGCAAAGCTTAGAACCAAGAAGAATTCACTTCATTCATGGGATTTATTTTTGTTATTCTCTGACATTACTAGTTTTATAGGTATACAGACAAAAAATAAAAGAATGAATGGCATAGGGGGTCTCATTTATGAAACTAGGATTCTAATGTTCTGTTGAGCAAGGGCTCTAATTATTATTTAATAAGATAATTTCCCTAAGACACATTATTTACCAGATTGGCTGTGTTAATGAGGATGCTTTGCAACTAATTTAAAGCACGGCAATAAGCATTTTTATCACAAAAAGGACAAACCTTCTCTAAATAATCAAAGCTCTTATTAGGGGAAAACCTTTCGTAAATAATTATTTATTCCTAAATGGAAGTCAAATGCACCACTAAATATCTTCCAGGGAAATGTGAAGCTTTCAATAGTGCATTTAACATGAGACAGTCCCTTGGAAAACACTCTGAGGATGCCGTATCTCCATCTTCCAATAACTTCCAAGGTCCACATAACAGAATCTGCTAAAGCCATCAACCTGAACTGACCCCAGTTGGTTACTGATTTGTTTGCATAAGATCCTGTTACTCAGGCTGGGCATAGTGTCTCACACCTGTAAATCTCACCACTTTGGGAGGCCAAGGTGGGAGGATTGCTTGAGTCCACGAGTTTGAGACCAGCCTGGGCAACATGGAAGACCTTGTCTCTGCAAAAAATAATAAAAAAATAAAAAATAAATAGCCAGACAGACATAGTTGTATGAGCTTGTGGTCCCAGCTACTAAGGAGGCAGAGGTGGGAGGATTGCTTGAACCTGAGAGGTCAATGCTGCAGTGAGTGTTGCAGTTTGCACCAACCAGCACCCTCCAGCTTGGGTGATAGTATGAGACCCTGTCTCAAAAACAAAACAAAACCTGTTACTTGGGTGCTTCCAAAGCGACACTCAATTGTAAATTTCTCCTGTAAATTTCACACCAATTCCTTCTACTCACTATTAAAATCAGTAAATGGAGCCAGTAATCTAATCCAAGAGTTTCAAAACATCAGGGTTTACCATGAGGCATCAATTTCCACCCACTCCTCTTCCCCATTATTGACATGTCACTTTTGTCTAACATCAGTCTCTCATCCAGTAACAAAGATATCCCAAATTACAGGCTTCAAAAGCTCAACCACCTTGTCTGTCTTTTACAATCCCTTCAGTAAAGACACGCTCGAGGATGTGTGATGCAAACTCAGTGAATTGGAAACCTAATTATGGAGTTCTTCTGTTCCTCCCTTCAATTTACCTTTCTTTGGCACACACAGGTGTATTGCCCTAAAATATTCCTCCTTGTGCTCGGCTGGCATTGCCCCTTTTCTTTTCCATTTTCTCAATTCAGATATTAAGATTATATTTTAAAATTTTAATTTAACAAATGACTTTTTCTCTACCCCTGATTCTAAGCCAAAGCCTTCTCCTAGAATCTCCTTTCTATTCCCTCTTATTCAAAGTGGAAATGAATCACAGCATTCAAAAGAGGCACATTTCTTATCATTTTCTTTGGGTGTGGCAGGCAACTGCTTTATGCAGTAGAGAAGAGGGGCAATCTTTTATGAAGGGCATGAACTATAAAGTCCTACAGACCTATGTTTAGTGCCCAGTACTTCTGCTTACCTGATGCTAATACTTGAGCAAGTTACTTAGCATCATGAAGCATCAAAATCCTTACCTACAAAGCAGGATAATAATAGGCCTGCTTGGGAGAGTTGTTGAGAAGTTTATTCATTCTATAAGTTAATAAATATAAAGAATTCAGTATGATGCCAGACACAAAGTACTCAGTAATTACTAGCTATTATTTTTATTACTATTTATATTTTATTGATAATGTCAGCAGCAGTGCAGGGAACCTGGCATCTATTTCTAGTATTGTGTGTCAAGGTTGCTGTAAATCTAGAGAATGGCAGCATCTATGCTCTCTTTTCATTGCAATGCCCCCAGTACAGCTAATTTTTTATTGTCTCACCTGGATCAGATCACAGCTGCTAGCATGGCCTCCACTTGCAAGGGCTTCCAGTTTACCATCCAGTTCATTCTCTTTAAATGTTGCAACTATCTTCCTTAAGGACATCTTTGGTTATTTAACACTTCCTTCTGCGATGGTTTCTAAGGGCTCACCAAATAACAGTGAATGCCCTTACCATAACATTTGAGGTCCTCTAAAGTCTAGCCTCAAACTACTATTAGCCTTTAGTTTCCATCATAGGGCTAAAGAGTGGATATAAAGATGCAGCCTCGTGTTGGTGGCATAACAAGTCAGGGAAAGAAGGAAGGGTTTTCCACTTAGCTGAGCGGGGTGATAGGACTACTACTAATGAAGAAAGCAACACTTCTATCATCAACAAAACTTCATTTTTTAAAAGTTAAAAATAATAACTATAAAGAGACTCCTAACACTGTTACCCACTTCTATATTCTAAATGTTTCACTTAACATTCATTAAAAGATATGTCAGAAGCATCCATTTTAGAGAGGCTTTGAAATGTCCAATGAGAAGGTTTATCTTCTCCTCAGTCTCCTTATTCGCTGTGATCTGAGTGTTACAGGTCATTTTTCTCTACCTACCTGATGTGGCACAAGCAACCTCCTCTCTTGATGACCACAAGCACTCCTTGAAATGGTGTGTAGGTCATGCACATGTATTAAAACAAACAAACAGAAAATCTGTAATAATAATATGCTAAAGGATTGTGGGTGGTATCTGGCACTGGGTTAGCAGGCACTCCCCTCCTTACTTCCTGTAATGAAATTCAAATAAAAAATGAAACCTTGTCTGAGTCTGGAGCCTCAAAAGTAAGGGACTGACTATAAGGATAAGTGTGGAGGAAGTGTTTTTGGTCAGGCCACTCTTGCAGTTTGGGGCCACCTGTGAGCTCACAGTCTCTGAGGCTCATTTTGATTGCACTTCCTTCTTTTTAGTTTGGTGGGCTTTCTACCCACACATGGCTTTGGTAAGAAGTAAGGGTCATGTTGGTATGAGGAGGAGGTCATAGGAAAGCAGGAGCTGGAACACCCCCACCTACCTGCCACCTTTCCTACCTAATTTCATAAACCTCACATCGAAGCTTTGAAGGGTCTGCTTTTTTTTTTTTTTTTTCTAATACCTTTGCTAATGTTATTCCCCCGTCTTTGTGCCCTTTCATTCAGCTCTCTCTGCTACATTCATCTTCAGCCTTCAGGGTAATGTTTCTCAAACTTCTGCACCAGTCCTCTCTTCAACTAGTCTATACGTAGGTAGTTATTTGCACAATGGTATCTCATCTCTAATAGTCTGCCGACTCTTTCAATGCAGAGACCCTGCCTCTCTTCAGTTCTCCCACCTCCTGCCCTAGCCCCTAACAATTCTTGAATAGCCAGGTGATTGCAGTCTACTCAGCTCTTTTCCTGAAAACAGTAGGAAAATAAATTGTCAGGAAATATAACAAAAGTCCCTTTCTCAAGTCTCAGAGGTGTTTAGACCAAGTAGTGAAAGAGCTCACAGGTTGTGATAGGCACTGGTTTGATCATTTGTGACAAGCAGCTCTTCTTTAATATCTACTGGTTGCACCCAAGCTGTTATCAGCTCCTCTTCTCCTTGGGGGCTTCTTAGTGTCTATGTGTCCATACAGAACATTACTTTTTATGAGGGAATTTTGCCTGAAACACCAACTCTTTGCAGAGGTGCCTGTTAACTCATAATTCACAGGGATTTGGTCTTCGTCCATGCTCACCCTACCTTTGCCTGACTTTGAAATACTGAGAACTACCCTCAGGCTTGAGTGCTGAATTTGCTGTGGTTGTGGGCACACAACTTGGGTTGTCTTGCTCCTCTTGTGAGGTGTAAGGCTTTTTCCCACTTCCTGTTTCCTGTAGCTTTCCACTGCCTCTGATTTCCAGATGACAGAGTCTCTGCAACTTCTAATAATCCCTTCACTAGGACAAAGCTTGAAAACAAACAGCCCTTTGCACATATTAAGTGCTCAAATAGTTTGTGAAATAGAGTTGAGTTGAAAACCATGTTATCAGTGCTGAAAGAATTTAGTGTTTGGTTCAGGGAAAATAGCCTTACTGGTTGCATAATTAATCAATAGTCTGTTTTTTCATGTGATAAAATGAATTTGAAGAGAAGTCCTTTGACTTTGCAGGATGCAATGAAATCATCTAATTTATTACAAAAATAAATGCATCTGCATCTTCCCTGAGGAAATGATAATGGCACTGGCCCTTGATTTCTCTGGAGTGGAAATGATGTTCAAATCACCTGGTCTTCAGGAAGTATTTTACACCTCCCACCATCCGTGTACTTTCTCACTCTTGCTATATTCCCATGTGGCATCAAGCCCAACGCGTATAACGTGCTTTCTAAACCAGAACATAAAAGTGCTAGATTCCAGACAATGGACAGACTCCTAAGCTTCTTCCAAAGAAAGTGCCCTCTAGTTCTGCACCATTGCTGACATAGAACTCTGATAGTGATAGCCTGTTGTCTTATGTCTTTAAAGTACCTTGTTTGGCCAGTCTAGCCTCTAGTCTATATAAACCATACAGGGTTTATAACAGACTCAGATTTAGAAGAAACCTAACATGTAAATTAATTGAGGGATTTTTCAGATATCTTAAAATAATATGCATTGTCTAAATGAAATACAGGTTAAGTATCCCTTATCTGAAATATGTGGAACCAGAAGTGTTATCAATTTTGGATGTTTTTGAATTTAGAAATATTTGCATATGCATAATGAGATATCTTGGGGATGAGACACAAATCTAAACATGAAATTCATTTATGTTTCATACATATCCCATACACATACCTTAACAGTAATTATATACAATATTTTCAATAATTGTATTTATGAAACAGAGTTTATGTACATTGAACCATCAGAAAGCAAAGGTGTCAGGTCATGGAAGTTTCCATTTATGGCATCATAGGGCGCACTACAGCCTCAAACTTTTGGGCTTACAGGATCCTTCTGGCTCAGCCTCCTGAGCAGCTGAGTCTATAGGTGTGGACCATCACGTCTGGCTCTATATTATGTTTTAAATCATCTCTTCAAACAGAAACAATTCTAGGTAAACAGTAATTCTCCAGGTAGTGTTTCTTGACTTGACCAATTGGCATGATGCCTTCATCTGTTGAGAGCTTTCCATGAACTCAGTATTAGATGGGATCCTACTGTACTGGATGGGACTTCACAGTAATGTCACTTTGTTAGGCTCATCAGAGTCTAAACCACTCTAATTTTGACTCTGAGAACAACATCTTCCATTACTAAAATTATTCATATAAAGTATTCTCCAGAATCAAACAGCTTGTCCCCCACACCCACTAAATTATTTCAATTATATCCTAAGGGTCCATTCCTTCTCTTCTACATATATACAGTGGGTAGTGACTCACTGTGGAAACAATGACAAATGCTCTGCAAACTGCTTAGATAGGAAGATACAAGCCTCCCTTTGCAGAGACTGATAAATGACAGAGGCCAAAGAAGGAGACATGTAGTTGCACAGAGACTGGGGAGATAACAGTATAAGGACAAGATAAACCTCCATCTCTGAGGTAAAGAATGACAATGATTAGGAAGCTGCCTCACTACAGATGGTTCCCCTCATTGCCCTCCAGAGGAACTTATCCACCAACAGTGGGAAGCCCATTACTCATGAAGTGTCCACTTTGAAATGATGTTCAACTCTGCTCCTGGGGATGTAACAAACCACCAACCCCAGCAAAACTTTCTTCCATGAATAACCACAAATATGACGGTTTGGACCAATGTAAGCCCTCACCTACTCACGCAGAAACATAAACTTTGCCTTGAATATCTTCTTTGGAGATGGAAGCACTAGTGGACTGCCCAAGACTTCCTTTAACACCAAAATGGAACTAAGAAGAATTAGCCTAAAATTTTCTGCTGAGCAAGGAGGTTGGAAGAACACACTATCAAGTTATATATAAATTAGTTCTATGTCATCATTGAGCACACTAATGGTGTAGATGTCAGTCAATACCACGGGAAAATACCCATTCAAATGAATCATTCCATATAGTACCCAGTGTAGAAAGAGCTCAGGTGTAACAACAGGGAGGCAGTTCAACTGCCCTGCTTCCTGCTTGACTCTCAGCTGCAGGTAAACACATGCCTGCCTTCCTCTGAGCTGAATCAGAGAATAGATTGAAGGTTTGGCCTGGGAATGAAAAAAGTGAAGAATAAAGATTGGCTGAATGGATGCTCTGAGGTGACTCCTTTCTCTATAGTATCATTGTGAAAATAAGTATTCAGCAGCATCAGAGGAGGAATTTGTTGAAGAAAGAGGATAAAATGAGATTATGTCTGAGAATGGCTGCCAAAATAAAATGGTGCAAAAGTCAAGTTTTTCTATTGAATTTTATTCTTCAGCTTGGGAATTGGCTCACTTAATTATGGAGGCCAAGAAGTCCCATGATCTGCCATCCCCAAGTGGAGAACCAGGAAAGCCACTGCCATAATTCAGCCTAAGTCCAAAGGTCCAAAAACCAGGGGAGCTAATGTTGTAAACCCTGCTGGTTTGGCTTCAAAGGCCTGAGAACCAGGAGCACCAGTGTCCCCAAGCTGGAGGAGACAGAGTGTCCGAGTCAAACAGAAAGAGTAAATTTGCTGTGGTTTCTTTTGTTGTTGTTGTTGTTGTCGTCGTCCTATTCTAGCCCTCAAGGGATTAGATGATGGTCACCCACATTGGTGAAGGTGGATCTTCTGTGCTCTGTCTAGTCATTCAAATGCTAACGTCTTCCAGAAACACTCTCACAAACATAACCAGAAACAATGTTTTACCAGCTATCTAGACATCCCTTTGCCCTGTCAAGTTGATACACAAAAAACCATCATAAGTAGGAATACTTGTGAAGTATATGTAAATATCTCTGAAAACATGGTAACTTGAGTCAAAGTGAAAGTTAAATGAAGGAGTGAGCCAAGCAGTACTCAGGGAGGAGAGTGGCCTTGGCAGAGATACCAGGAATGTCAAGCAAAGCTCAAGAGAAGGGAAGGGTAAGAGAGGCATTAGAGGGAGATCCTGCAGGTCAGAGAGGTCATGGAAGATCTTTAGATTGTATTATGAGTAAGGTGAGCGTCTCTATACTTACAAGCAAAAAAGTGACTGCTGAGAATAACTGAAAAAATGGGATAAGGTCAGAGATAGGATCCACATTCTGGACATCTTGCCCTGTACTTCTGGGTGGCAGAAGACCGCAGAATGTCCATACATTCAGCTTTCCCTGTTAGATGATTCTTTAGACCTCTAGAGCTGACTCCTTACATCCCATTCTCACTGGCTTGCTCAGGCAGGTGAGGTGAGATCTAAAGATAAGTCCTGGGTGTCCTTGCTCCTTGGATCAGTCAGATGAGCCCTGTCTCTTCTGTTGTTCCATCAAAGACCTGTGCACAGACGATGAAGTACAAAGAGTGTTCACTAAAGACAAGAGGTTCCCATGCATGTCACTAACATTACCAGAGCTTATTGTATCCAATAGTTGTTTTTGTCTTCCTAAAATGGACCTGCACACAACAAGGAAGCTGCTTGAACTGGGACAGTCCTTTAGCCTTCCTGTGACTCACAGTGGCATCCTCAATGTCTTGTACTCTACAAGTGTTAATTAAAAGAAACTTGGTGAGAAAAACAAGAGTAATCCTAATGTATCCATTTATTCATCCATCATTTTCCTACATGTGCTTATTAAGCACCTGCTGTGTCCTAAGCAGGGATTTGTACAGTGATGCAGCAGTGAACAGAACAGACAGGTTCTACCTTAATGGAGGAAGAGAGAAACAGTAAAGAATTATATAAACAGTAAGATAATTTCAAACGCTATTATGAAAAAAACATAGAGCATCAAAGACTTAGGACATTGTTTGGGCTGCAGGGTGAAGGCAGCATTAGGTAGCATCATCAGGATCAGTCTCTTCTACTAGTGTTTGGGATCAACCTCGAGTACCAAGAAGAAACCGGACTGGCAAAGATCTGCGGTGATTGCAGCTAGCACAGTTACTGTAGTACCCCAGTGGCCACTGGTGGTTAATAATCCCAGAAACAAGGTTGTTGTGGGTAGGCATACTGAAGTTAATGCAACCACAAAAAGCAAGCAGAAGAGCAAAAATACCCAGTAAGTCCTCTTTTGAGCAAGCCCAAGTGGGAAGTCACGGTTTGTGGCAGTCAACCTCAGGACTGCACTCTCTGAATTGCCCTGATGGCTGCCAGCCTCCTAAGGGCCTTGGCTGTCATGCAGTGACCCTCTGAACTGCTCCTTCCTTCTGCCTTATGCCCCTAGCCTCCAGGCTGTCTGCTCTTCCAGGACCAGCTGCCAAAGTCAGCCTCTGCTCTGGGAAATACTACAGACCATGACCAATCTGTATTTGGGCATAAAGCACCAGATGTGTGCACTGTGACAGTGATGGTTCCAGCTCTGACAGGAGGGCAAAGTTCTCAGGCTGTCTGATTCCATCTCTTTGTATCCTGGGAGATAAGGTAGCCTTTGAGAATATAGAAGAGAACAGATACTAATGCCTTATTTATCTGCTATTGTAGGCAAAGGATGTTTTCCACTTAGGGGGCAATTCCAGGTAACAGAAGTTTATTCCTCTGCCTCCTAATTAAAAAGCAACAACAGCAAAAGACACACTGATTTTATTTGCTTATACGCCATAAAGCATCAAACACACACACACGCGCACGCACACACACACAAACATATTTGTTTTGGTTTAGTCTTGAGCAAGTGGGATTGAAACATTTCTATGATGGGTGACAATCTACCTCCCTGCATTTTCTTAATCTTAATGAACTTAAATGAAACTGCTCTTAATGGCTCGGGGTTATCTGTAAGATTGGAGGATCTAACAAGGTTCAGAAAATGGAACTGGGCTACTAGGTATTTGGAGAGCAACTACCTTCTTTCAGTTTCGTTTTCTTCCCAAATTTTTCAAATTCTCCCCCTTGCTGTTACCTTCCCAGCTATCACTTCTTATTGTTACCACAGTCATTGCTGCAGTATAATCACTCCACCCACCTTTTCTCACTCCCATCCTCCATTCAATCCTAGTCTGTTCTAGGTTTGGCAACTGATTAGAAATGTGCCCAGAATTATTAAATAGTCATATTATGAATGAGAACTTGAGATAAACTTCTATGGAAAAAATGGTACATGATTATGAATGTGAACCCTTTGACGCATATTGATGGATTTTTACCTTGAGCCCAGTGTTGAAAATGCCCCAGATAAGTAGGAAGTGAAGTTTAGAAACGTATTTCTAAATAACAAAAGGAGATTTTGTTATTATTTAATTATGACTTTAATGACCTCTTCTGGGAACCTGCATTTAAATATTTAGGCTGGTAGGTATTACTCAGATATTAGAGCAGATATTATGCCTTTGTATCATAGAAAGAACATTGGACTGGAAGCCATGAAAACTGGTCCTAGTCATTGCTTGGTTACTAAATGCTTGTGTGATGCTGTGAATGCTACCTAACTGATGAACTCTAAAATGGGTCACGTCGTAATAGTCAATCTGCCTCATAAAGTTTCTTTGAAAATGAACTGAGGAAATGAGAGTGGAAAATTCCTTGAAAAACAAAAATACCATAAGCATGAATGTGTATTTGCAGTTAATTATTCTTTCAGTCTCTGTCCTAATTTCTTTCACGGTAATGACTAGTAGAAACCAGAATATTAAAGAAAAAGACGGCCAAGTCAAAAACATAAATGCAAAGCAGTCAAATCAACAATAACGAATAGAAATCATCAGGAAAAAAAAAACACGTTCCTCATAAACAAAGTGATTATTTGATTGTAAATGAGTAGTATGAAAACTGGCATAATTGTGCCATTTTTTTCCAACAAAATTTTAGATAATTTCAACTCTGTTTAAAATGCCACTGATTAGCACACTGGACTAGAAGCTGGGAAAACTGGGTCTCTGCATTGACTTGTGTAAAATAAAGTAGCTGTGCAATCTTGGGAAGATTACTTCCCCTCTGTGGATCTAATTTTTCTGAAGAATGAAGGCATTGCAACAACATTCTTCAACTCTCCCTTTCTTGCTCCTTCTAGGATGTAAAATAAGAGGAGTAGCAAGATCCCCTTTGTCAGGGACATGGGCCATCTGTTGAAGGGAGACTGGGAATTCTGGGGACCAGAGTAGCACGATTTCCCCATCTCTCTGCATGTAGAACAAGGACATCATCCACAGGTTATGAGCTGCTGGAGGGCAGGTACTGTGTCCTGCGTTGGTCAAGCAGTAACGACTTGACACTTCATCAATGACTATCATTAATCAATGCAACAACACCTTTATGGCCCTTTCTTCTATGCTCCGATGGTCATAGTTCAATTAGGAGCACACCAGGTAAACAGTGGGAGGCGGCTAATTTAGTGTGCCCTCAATTGGGTACCCAGAATGGCTGGCACATATATACCCCAATGTATGAGGGGGTCATTCCTACTGGTTTGTTAAATACTTTGGGCGTCATGTTGTCACACATAAGAAGCATCCATGGCTGCCTCATTTTAGATAACCTGGGAGCCATGTACAGGGCACTACCTTAACCAGGTCTCTAGCTAAAATTATTCCTTTAACTTTAATCTTTTTGTGTATGTTTTATAATTGTACATTAGAAAAATGCAAACACTCAAGGTTAATGTATTTAATTAATTTAAAGTGCACAGGTGATAAAATGGATCACCCCTAATTTGTTGGCTAGTGCCAAGGGGTTGTCATGCCAAAAGGTACTTACTAATTTAAAGAATGATTTGGCCCTGTTCTTTGATCTCCAAATCTAATCTCCAGTTCAGATGGAAATCTCAGATGTCCAGCTTATATCAAACACAATCTCTTCTCCCAGAAGAAGACTTGCCTCAATACTTCTCAGCTAAATGGTACTAGAAAAAATGCACACCCATAGAAAAAGCTATGACCTTCAAAGGTCAAGATAATAAAATTAGTAGAGGAGTGATAACCATCTCAGATCACTGTCTCCTGGGTAACCAATGGTCATGTCAGGCTGCTGCAGAAACTAGTTGTTCAGTACTGATTCAGAGACAGGGTTGGATACAGTATAGAAATCCAGAGTTGTTGACAACATTAATTGAGCTGAAGCAGGTCATTTCATTTAATCCTGTTGGGCTTTAGTATCTCTATATGCATAATAAGGCCATTGTTTTAAAAAAGAAAGAATTACACACTTTTGCTTCCACTCTGGACTCTAACATCTAAGTCAGATATTGCTATCTGATGCTAGTACACTTTGATATCTCAGATTCCTTCCCAAGACAGTGCTCTAAGACATTGCTTACCAGTCAAGCAGAATAGACATGTGAGATGTGTATTTGAGATCTTTGATCTAGAGGAGGAGTTGCTTAGATGCAAACAAGTGGAGGCCACTAGTGGCATTGGTGTTACAGGAAATGTTTAGCAAACAATTTTCCAGAAAAAGAAGCACTAGGCAGAGTTGATTTGGTAGCATTCGCCAATTTCCACTGTGTCAGCATTCCCACTGTGGCCATTTGGAGCTAGCAACACATCAATTGTCTTGCAAAATTCTTAACAATTTTACAGAAGACTCCTGTTGTCCACTCTAAGTCAGCTCCACCACACTTCTGGTAGTGGCCTCCTGGCTGAGTTGTAGTAGAATCTGTAAACTCAATGAAATTCAATGCAAAAGTTGTATATAATCATCTACATTTTTCTGTGTAGCTGGCCCGGAATTTTTATGAGATGTATCATGAGTTCATGGTCCCAAATGGGTTAAAAAACACTACCTAGAAGATATCTAAGGAAGATATTACAATTAATAGCTGGTTCAATTCTCCTTCTTACTTGCCCCCCTTGTAGTTAAGAAGGCCATGTAACTAATTCTGGGAGGTGATCCATGAGCACACGTGACATCTGTCACTTCCAAGGCTAAGCTGTGCATTTTGAATCTGTTTGCCTGGGTTTCTGGGTAACTACATGGAACAGAGGCCCTGCTAATCCACAATAGGTAATAACATAGTAAGAAATAAATCTTAAGCCAGAATAGATGAATGACAAGCAGATTGAAGTAGTAATTTAAAAACCTTCCAACAAAGAAAAACCCAGGACCAGATGGCTTTACAGCTGAATTCTACCACACTTTCAAAAAATAATTAATATTAATACTTCTTAAACTCTTTCAAAAAATAAAGCTGTAAGGAATACTTTCTAACACATTTTGTGAGGAACAAATCACCTTGACATTTTAGGCCCAGGCAAAGGTACCAGAAGAAAACTGCAGGCCAATATCTCTGATGAATATTGTTGCAAAAGTCCTCAACAAAAAATTTGCAAATTGAATTCAACAACAGATTAAAAAAGATTATACATCATGATCAAGTAGAATGTAGCCCTTTCATGCAAGACTGGCTTAACATACATAAATCAATCACATTAATAGACTAAAAGACATAAATCAAATATGATATCAAATTGATTTAGAAAAACATTTGACAAAACTCCACATACTTTCTTGTGAAAACTCTTAAAATGTTGGGTATAGATAGTTTCTGCTATAGTTTGGATGTCTGTTCTCCCAAACCTCATGCTGAATTTGATTCCAATGTTGGAGGTGGGGCCCTAATGGGAGGTGTTTGGGTCACGGGGTCAGATTCCTCAAAAATAGATTAATGTCCTCCTTTGGGGAGGGGGTGAATGAGTTCTCACTCTGTAAATTCCTCTATGAGGTGGTTTTTATAAACAACCTGGCATCTTCCCCTTCTCTCTCTTTCTTCCTCTGTTGTCATGTGATCTCTGCACACACTGGCTCCGCTTCCCTTCTACCATGATTGGAAACAGCTTGAGGCCCTCACCAGATGAAGATACTGGCACCATGCTTCTTGTCCAGCCTGCAGACCCATGAGACAAATAAATCTCTGTTCTTCATAAATACCCAGCCTTAGGTATTCCTCTATAGTGACACTAGATGGACCAAGACAGTTTGTTAACATAATATAGACCATTTATGAAAAACTCACAGCTAACATGATAATCATAGAGAAAACTGAAAGCTTGTCCTGTAAGGTCTGAAACAAGACAGGAAGGCCTATTCTTGAACTTCTATTCCACAGAGTACTAAAATACCATCAAGGGTAATTAGACAAGAAAAATAAATAAAAGGTATCCAAAACAGAAAGGAAGAGGTAAAATTATCTTTCTCAGATAATATTACATGATCCTATATCTAGAAAACCCCAAAGCCTCCACCAAAAAACTGCTATGTTAGATCTGATAAATGAATGCAGTAACATTGCAGAATATAAAGTCAACATACAAAAATCCATGGCTTTTCTATATACAAATGGCAATGTAGCCAAAAAAATCAAGAAACAATCCCATTCACAATAGCATCAAAAATAATATACTTAGGAATAAATTTAACCAAGGAGGTGAAAGACCTGTACACTGAAAACTAGAGAATATGGGCGAAATAAATTAAAAAGGACAAATATAAATGAAAATATATTCCATGCTTGTGTATTGAAAGAATATTGTTAAAATGTCCATAGTACCTGAAATAATACATAGATTCCATGCAATGCCTATCAAAATTCCAATGGCATTCTTCATAGAAATAGAAAAAATAATCCTAAAATTCATATGGAACCACAAAAGACTCCAAATGGCTAATGAAATTCTGAAGGAAAATAGAAACGATACAAAGTTTAAGAAATCACACTTCCTAATTAAAATTATATCACAAAGCTATAGTAATCAAAACAGTAGCAAAAACAGACACATAGACCATGGAAGAGAAGAGAGATCCCAGAAGTACATTTAACCATATATGGCCAATTAATTTTTGATAAGGGCACAGAAAGACACAATGAGGAAAACATAGTCTATTCAATAAATGTTGCTGGGGAAACTAGATTTTTATATGCAAAATGTAAATGGAAACTTTCTCTTACACTATACGTAAAACTCAACTCAGGTTGGATAAAAGACTTAAACATAAAACCTGGAACCATAAAACTCCTTGAAGAAAACATAGGGGAAAATCTCCTTGACATTGGCCTTGGCAATGATTTTCTGGCTACAACACCAAAAGCTCAGGCTATAAAAGCAAAAATAAATAAATGGAACTACATCAAACTAAAAAACTTCTGCACAACAAAGTAAAGAATGAAATGAAAAGGCAACCTATGTATTGGAAAACAATATTTGCAAACCATATATCAGATAAGGGATTAATATCCAGGATTTATAAAAACTCATACAACTCAATATTAAGAAAACATATAACCTGATTAAAAAGTAGCCAATGGACTTGAATATGTATTTCTCTAAAGACACCATTAAATGGGCAATGGGTACATGAGAAGGTTTTCAACCTCACTAATTATCAGAGAAATGCAAATCAAAACCACTATGAGCTACAACATCACACTTGTTAGAATAGCTATTGTCAAACAAAGAATAGATAACAAGTTTTGGCGAGGATGTAGAGAAAAGGAAACCCTTGTACACTGTTTGAAATGTAGCTTGGTGTGGCCAATGGAAAAGTGTGTGGAGATTTCTAAAAAAATTAAGAGTAGAACTACCTATGATTCAGCAATTCATCTTCTGGGTACATATCCAAAAGAAATGAAATCACCATCTCATAAACTTATCCACAATGCATCAAAATTCACAATAGTCAAGATATGGAAATAACCTAGTTGTCTATCGATGAATGAATGGATAAAGAAACTATGGTACAGATACACAATGGAATATTATGCAGCCTTAAAAAGGGTGGAGATGCTGACATCTGCCCCAACGTAAATGGACCTGAAGGACATTGTGCTAATTTAAATAAGCAGATCACAGAAAGAAAAAATATTGCATGACTTCACTTATATGTGGTATCTAAAAAAAAGAAAAAAAAGAAAAAAAAAGAAAGAACAGAAAATGAAAGGGAGAAAAAAAGTCAAACATACAGAGATAGAGAATATAGAGAATCATGACTATGGCCACAGTTGGGGGAGAAAATGGGGAGATGCAGTTCAAAGGATAAAAGGCAGCAAATATATAGAATAAACAAGCTGAAAAATCTAACTTATAACATGATGGCTATAGTTAATAACAGTGTATTGTGTTGGAGTTTTGCTCAATGACTAGATTATTGCTGCTTTTGACATGGAAGGCAGTGATGGGTAAATGTATGAGATAATGGACATATTAATCTGTTCCACTGTAGTATATGTGTAGCTTAAAACAACATGTCATATACCTTAAATATAAACAAAAGTAACTTTATTTAAAGAAAAAACAGCTGATACTGTTAAGTCACCTAGATTGGAGGGTGAATGTGATACCACAGCAAAGTCTAGATGATTGTAAACAATACAATTAATAATGTGCTTTCCGGACCTTAAATTACATAAACTTGAATAAATTATCTGAGATGTTACAGTTGGAATCCTAAATTGAATTATTATTCCATGAATAATCCTTTCTTGGAAAAGCTCTGCCCTCAGCTGTCATCTGAGGCCCATAGTCTAACCTTAGATAATTTTACTTTCCTTACGAGTTATAACTTTCTTCAAGTTTACTTTTCAAGCAGCCAGACCGGACAGTGGGACCACTGTGCCCCATGAAGGACATGGGTTATTATTTATTGAGAACTCCTATCACATGCCTTGCACTTTATCTATTTAGGAAACATTCGCAGTGTACATCAGAACATATCAATAGCACCTTTGGTGAGTGCTATGTACCACATGTTCAGAGGTTGATCAACCAAGCAGACTTGGCCTTAGATACTTATGAGAAAGGCAGTTATTTGTGATTTAATTTGAGAGACTCTATGTATGCTCCCAGGACATAGACAACTTCCCAATGAGTTTATAACCCACCCTAAAGTTCTACCATTGAAATTATATCCCTTTGTCCAATTTAAAAATATAAATTACCCTGGGAAGGACATAAATCAATCACAAGTCACTCCCATCATTGAGGGAAAGTGACACTTGAGAGAATTATTTTTTGTAAGTTGGGTGAGGGCAATGTATTAAAAACCTGGAGCTTTTGTGAGAGAAGAGAAAAAGGTGAGGGAAAAAAGGGGTCACTTGGGAGTGAGAACATGCCTGGAAAACCCACCTTTAAATCCCTCAGAAATGCATGAATTAGTAAAAGAAGGTACAATTATCACTGACATTTTACATGTGAGAAAAAGAATGGAAGTTGGAGCAGCTAAATGTCTTGTCTTAGGTAACACAGCTTATAAGTGATAAAGAATTGACTTAAACCCAGGGCGAATATGATACTACCATTGTTGCTATCATTGTTTATTCCTAATACACAATATTTTTCCTTTTTCATTTATTCTACCTCTAACATGTAGAAACAATCTTCTTTTTCCAGATTTCATTTCATCTAGAATTCATGGACCATAAGGGCTCCCGAAGAAAAGTCAGAAGCAACATTGCTTAGTATATGGCAGAGATCAAACTATGGCCGAGGACTAGCTTGGGACTGCCTGTGCTTCTCATTCCTGTCTGAGGAAAGGTGGGGAGGGCTCAGAAGTGCACAGAGAGAAGGTGTTCGATATTGTATAATGTTTGACCTGCAGCCATCTGTTCACTCAACTTATGCATTTACTTTTGTTCAAGCAACAAATATCTCTGGCTTCCCTACTATGCCAGACACTCTCCTATATACAGAGGTGGAGAAAATAAACTCTGTTCTCATGGAGTTAACAGTGTGAAGGGAGAGAAACAACAAGGAATAAATGAATAAATAAAATGCATTTGTGGCAAATGCTATGAAAGGAAAAATAGTACCTTGTGAAATGAAGCTCTTCGATGAAAACTTCTAATGCAGGGGTGGATGGTACTGGCATGTAATCCCCACATTTTTTTTTTTTTTTTTGGTTGAGAACAATATTTCCACCACTCAGCGACAACCCTGAACTCCAACAAACCCTGTAGAAACAAAACAAGAAGAGGGCAAAATCAAGTTTGTCACAGGGATACACATAGACGTCTCACAGCGGGAATTTAAAACCCTGGTTTCTCAGGGGACTGTCTTTATATTCACCACCAGAGCACCTGATGGGGTAAAACAAAGTAGGTGATAACTATCATGGATTTGGCACAACTGGGGACAGTGATAGAGTCTGCACTTGTCAACAAGATAGACAAGAAAACTGGGCACGATTTTGACCAAAGAGAGCTAAGAAGGGCGAGTTACAGGGATCAGAAAAACAGGGTAATGATGACCAAGTGCACGTGTCTGTAATGTTTTCTTATTCCCTGGTAACCTTATGACATAGTTCTAATTCAACCACAAATATAACAGAGGAGCATGAGCCTATAATATGTCACGTATTTTATTATGTTTTATTATATGCCACATTAAGTCTGTATTTGTGGCCAAAAACATAAAATAGCACTGCTTTTAGACACAGCAAGATTATATACTCCTACAGGAAAAGAGCTTTGGAAAGTTCATCTAATCTTCTTTGTTTTCCAATTTGAAGCAGAGATGAATAACTGAAAGCTTTCAATGTGGACATCAGTGAGGACATTTCTCCAGGACCTTTGCCTGAAAGACTTACCTGGGATTCCTAGAGTTTTAATTATTCATTCTTAGTAGGCCATAGGGGTCAGCCTGTATAGAGAATCTGAAAACCAGAACAAGATTAGAAGGTGGTATCAGACTACTGTATATAGCAGAGTTTCCACAGTCAAACATAAGGCTTGAAATCCAAGCTTAACTAATTGCTATGTGAACTTTGGCCAATTACTCAAGCACTATATTAGTCAGGACCTAACTGGGATTCAGATGCCACATGAATATTTAAGCAGAATGACTTTAATGCAGAATTTGCACAGGTGATGAACCAGCTTAGAAGCCTAATAGAAGATAGCAATTCTGACATTAGCAATAGCACGAGCCACCACTCCCTTAGACCAGAGGGAAAAGAGGGAGGGAGTGGTGATGCTACAGCTAGAAGACTAGGATTATTTCAGAAGCTGGCTCCATGGCAGGTCTCATTGTCAGAAGCTGAAACCAAAGAAGAGATGTAGACGCTGCAAGGGACACAGACAGAAACAAGGGGGTAGAAAGATCTGCCTCCCTTCTATTGGCTACCCCAATCTCTCTTCAGTGTCTGCAAATGACCAAATCAAGCCAGAAATTCACTGACACAGAAGCCTGGAGAACACAGGCTGAAGGTGTCAGCTGTCCTGCAATATAGAGCTCAGCTCAATGTGGGCACGTGATCCTGAGGTTGTTATTCTTAAAACCGTCATTGTCAAGAAATATTTAAAATGTAGTCAGTGGTATGCTGATAAATGTATAACAATTGACTTTCCTTGGGGAGAGCCCTGACTTGCGTAGCTGGTTCCTATGGTGTGGATACTTTCATCATGTCTAATTTCCAACTGCCTATGTGAAGGCACTGAACATGGCACTGTGAAGATTGGCTCATACACGTGGGTATAAGTTGGCTCTAGAACAACACTGAAAGTAGGCATATAAAGAAAATAGCAGAAATACTCTACAGATCCAGTAGAAAAAAAAAATGCCACTACTAGTGGTTGAAAATTGCAGGGAAATAGGGTTTGGGGCTCTCTTTAACAAAAACTACTAAAATTTGGACTATCCCCTTGTGAGTCCATATATTCTTCACAATTGGGGCCACATTCACTAGATACCTGGTAATTCTTTACAGATATTTTTTACAAACTCTGTATTGCACAGCCTTGATGGTTCATGTGTTTGCTATCCAGAGAGGAATCCCAAACTTCTATATTGTTTTGGAGCCAGGTTGTAATCCCTTGTCTATATAACTTTTCCTGACATTGGAGAGGTGACTCTCAATAGGAATTGTTTTGCATCTCATTTTTGATGCTATCTTGATGCTTCCTCTTTTCCTTCCTTCAGTTTATATCAGACTGTTTCTCCCCGCATGTCTCATTACCTTTGTCATCTTGTCATTGAACAAAGCAAGGGGAAACTAACATAGCTCTTCAGAGTGCTTATGCTTGGGTTTCTGATTTCTGACTCTATGGTTATGTGAAAGCCCTACAGCCATCAATAGACTAGTCAATTCTTCTAAGGAGCAATCCACAGACTTGTTGAATTACTATTGCTTTCGACAATTTAGGAGGCAATCTCTTGGGCACACATCAATCCTTGTACCTTAGTGTGGGATTGGCAAGTCTGAAAACATGCTAGAGAATGCACACCTGGTATCTGGAAATACAAATATTCTAATATATGGTCAAATTTATATGAGTAAAATATCCTTAGCAAAATGTGTCTCTTTTATTTTCTCTGTTTTACATATTGTGTTGGAATCAATCAAGAGTTAGCCCATTTATTTATTTGCACTTTTAAAAATATTGAAGAATATATGCAAAGTTCAGTTCAAGGACCAGAGGATGTAATGGTGAAAAGAAAGTGATTCTCATTCTCATTATGCCTTCAAGATGTCCTTAGTCTAGTAGAATAGAAGATACTAAGAACTGACAATTATATTCAATAGTATTGGTATTAAGGAGGGGTAAGCCTCAGGTGCTCTAGGAGCACTAAGGAAAGGTAGCCTGGGAGATCACCCAGGAGAAGAAATGACTAAGTAAAGATCCAAAATATGTGTAAATGATAGCAAGAATGGAGGAAAGACTATTTCAGGTAAAGCTAATAGATTGTGCAAAAGGCAGAAATGAAAGAGAATCAGAGAGGGACTTCCACTTCTGGCTAGGTGCTAGATATACTTCCTACCTGAAACAACCAAAAAACCTGGAAAAATATATGAAATTATGATTTGTGACACACTGGCCCTCAAGCAACAAAGGACAGTGATCCCTGAGAAATGGGAAACAAATGAGAAAAACTATGCAATTGCCTCAGTTTATGGTCTTGAACCATTTTAGCAAAGGGAGGGGAAAACAAGGCAGAGACACGTAGACTAGATATTGAGGAGTCACAGTTGAGGGTCCAGGGCCGCTAATGTGGGTTGAGTTCACTGGAAAGCGTACTAGAGAGGAGAGTGATGCCCAGAAAGAAAGAACTACAGAGATATGCAGAGTGTCTCCTTGAGGAAGCAGCAGAGTACTGGTTAGCACATGTGTGTAAAAAAACTAACCAAGGCCAGGAATATCACTACCTAAATAAATTACAGGGAGCAGTACTGACTGCTCCAACAGAGCCAAAAATATGCAGACTGGAAAGCCTTTTATTTCATGGAGCATTATTTAGAATACTCAGAAGAATCTTGCATTAGTAGTGGGAAATAGTTATCTCTACACTAAATTCCATTCTGGCCACTATCAACAAATCTTAAAAACAAGCTCTAAAGGACCAAATTATGTCCAAGTAACTTTACTCCATCTCTTCTGAAGAAAACTGAAGAATATTTATAGGAACATAAAAATATCCAGCAGCCAATAAAGCAAAATCCACAATGTCTTGCACCCAAACAAATACTAATCAAGCATGATGCAGGAAAATATGATGCATAATGGGGAGAAAAATCAATGAATCGAAACTGATGGCAAACAGAAACAAGTGTTAGACTGGGAACACAAATAGTTATAATAATTATATTCCATATAAGCTAAAACTTAAACATAAAAATATATTTTTAAAACTATTTAAACTAGATTTCTAGATATGAAAACTAAAATGCATGAAATGAAAAATACACTGGATAAGAAGTGGCAGAAATAAGATAAGACATCATGATAAAAGTGGTTATTGAACAATTGGACAGGTTTACATGGCTTAATACAGTGCAATTGGAGTCCCTAACAGAGCAGACTGGGGGAGGTATTTAAAGAAAATGGGTGAAAACTTTTCAAACTTGGTAAAACCTATAAACCACAGACCCAAGAAACTCAACAAACTAGAAGCACAAGAAAAATAAAGAAAAGTACACATGCATCATAGTCAAATTGCTCAAAAGCAATGTAAAGAGAAAAGTTTCGTAGCAGGCAGAGAAAACAAAGAGGAACAAGGAAAAGAATGAGAGCTAATTTATCTTCAAAAACACTGCAGAGGAGAATGAAGCAATATTGTTTAAAGTATTAAAAGAAATAAAAAACTGTCAGCCTAGAATTTTATATCCAATGAAAATAGCTTTCAAAACCGAAGGCAAATACTTTTTCAGACATGCAAAAGCTAAGAGAACTCAACACCAACTGACTCTCAATATAATAAATGTTAAAGAGATTTCTTCAAGCAGAAGAGAAATAATAGCAGATTAAATATGGATCTCTGCAAAAAATGAAGAACACTAGAAATGGTAACTACATGGGTAAAGAGAAAACATTTTTTAAAAATGTTAATATATGTTTTAAATTGTCTGCTCAAATTAAAATAATAATATGGTATTTAAAATACAAACACACACACACACACACATGTCTGCACACATATATGTAAAATGCTAGACAACAATATCCCAAGGTCAGGAGGGGTAAAATGGAAGTATGCCACTGTAAGGTTATTTTATTATATGTTAAGTGGTACAATATCACTTGAAAGTAGGAAGTTATAAGTTAAATATATATGTGTGTATATATATACATATAGTATATTCTAAAGAAATAATTAAAATAACAAAATCAAGAGTTGTAGCCATGAATTAACCAAAAAACCTAATAATAGAAAATAATACAAAAAAAGACCAAAACAGAACAAGGAACAGATAAGGCAAACAGAATTCGAATAGCAAGATGATAAAATTAAACTTATCAATGATCACATTAAGGGTGACTAGGGTAAATATCCCAATTAAAAGGTGGAGATTATCACATTTTATTTTTATATAAAAGAGTGTATCAACTATATGCTTCTTAAAAGGAATACACTTTAAATATAAAAACTCAAATCGATGAAAAACAAAAGGATGATAAAACATATATAATGCTAATTCTAGTCCAGAAAAATGGAATGTCTATATTATATCAGACGAAGTCAATTTTTAATTTTTCTTTTTTGAGACAGGGTCTCGCTCTGTTGCTCTGAAGTGTGTGGGTCACTGCAGCCTTGACCTCTTGGGCTCAAGTGATCCTCCCACCTCAGCTTCCCAAGTAGCTGGGACAAAAGGCAAGAGCCACCATGCTCCGCTATTTTTTTATTTATTAGAAACAGGGTCTCACTATGTTGCCCAGGCTGGTCGTAAACTCCCAGGCTCAAGTGATCCTCCCACCTTGGCCTCCCAAAGTTCTGAGATTACAGGCATGAGCCACTGCACCTGGCCTAGAGAAAGTCGATTTTATAGCACTGAATATTATCATAGACCAAGGAGTCACTCATAATGATGACTGTATTAATTCATCAAGAGCATATAATCATCCTAAATCTTTTTAGAATTTCCAAGAAAAAAAGCAAATCTACAGTTTATTGTCAAAGATTTCAACATCCTCTCTTAATATTTAATAGACCGATAGAAACCTAAGTAAGGATACAGAAGATTTGAATAACACTATCAACTAGCTAATCTAATTGCTATTTATAGAACATTACACCCAACAACAGCAGAATACATATTATTTTGAAGCAAACAGAGAGCACTTATAGATCATACTCTAGATCATAAAATATCTTAATACACTGAAAAGAATTTAGTATACACACTGTAATAGAATTTAATTAGATATAATTAACATAAAAGTTTCTGAGAAATTCTCAAATATATGAAAACCAAATAAAATATTTATTAATAACTCTTGGGCTAAAGAAAGCAAAAGAGAAAATAAAGTATTTTTTACAAATAAAAACTGAAAACACAACAGTGCTTATGGAAAATGTATAGCACTACATGCCTTTGTTAGTAAAAAAGAAAATATTCCCAATCAATTATCTCAGTTTCTATTTTAAGAAATCAGAAAAATAGAAGCAAGTTAATTCCAAATAAGTGTAAAAAAGGAAATAATTTTAAAAAACAGAAATAAGTGAAATAGAAAACAGAAAAAAAAAACAGAGGAAATCAATGCAGCCAAATGACATATTTAAAAAGAGAGAGAGAAAGAGATCAGTATATTGATATAACTGTGGCCAGCCTGTTCAGGAAAATAAGAGAGAACACAAATTAACAATATCACAAATGAGAGTGCTGGCGTCACTGAAGTTTCTACAGATATTAAAAGGATAATAAGAAAATATTTTATAATCTTATGAATTAATTTAACAACTTAGATGACATGGATGGATTCCATAAAAGACAAATTACTTGAGCACATTCAAGAAAAAGTAAATAACATAAATTGCCTTATATCATTTAAAAACAATTGGATGTGTAGTTAAATACATCTTTTCTCTCCTTTCTCTCATTCTTCCCTTGAGGAATATCCCAGTCTCGGGTGGCTTCAATGATAAATTCTACCAAATATTTGAAGATAAAATAATACAAATTCTATGTAAGCTCTTCCAGAAAACTGAAGAAATCCTTACCAACTAATTCCATGAGGACAGTATTGCTCTGATACTCAAACCAGACAAAAATATTACAAGAAGATAACACTACAGATTAGTATTTCTCATCTTCGCAAATAAAAAATGTTTTAAAGAAAATTTCAGTAGATCAACACAACAGTATATAAAAATAATAGTATATCATGATCAAGTGAGGATGTATGCCAAGAATGCAAGGTCTGGTTAACATTCAAATATTAATCAATGCAATTTGCCATAAACTAAAAAACAGAAGAGCAACTGATTATCTCAGTAAATTCTGGGGAAAAAAGAATATGGGAAATTAAGAGAAAAGAAAATGAGAAATTCCTGATTTTAAAAAACACAACAACAACTCTCAGAAAACCAGAAATAGAAAGAAACTTCCTCAATATGATAATGGACATTTAAAAAACAAACAAACAAATACATAGGTAGCATCATACAAAATAGTGCAAGACTGAATATTTTATTGAAAACAAGACAAGAATGGTTGCTCTCCAACTTCCTACTCAATATTTAATTGGAGGTAACATATAGTATAATAAGGCAAGAAAAATAAATAAAATGTCCCCAGACTGGAAAGAAACATGAAATTTTCTTTACTTACAGATAACATGATCGTCTATGTAGAAAATCTGGTAGAACCTTCAAAATCACTCTTAGAACCCATATTTGAGTTGAGCAAGGCTGCATAATACAAGATCAATGTACAAAAGCCAATCATGTTTCAATAAAACACAAAAAATATGAAATTGAAATTTTTAAAAATATCTTTCACATTATTTAAAAATATAAAATATTTAGGGATAAATCTGACAAAAATGTACAGGCATATACACTAAAATTATGACATTGCTGACAGACATCAGAGACAACTTAAATACATTGTGATATATATAGCATTTATGAGTCAGAACCATTACCCCAGTAGTGTTTTACTTTGGTGTGGGAGGAGTAGAAATTGAAAGTCTTATTCTGAATGTATGGGTATGCATAGATTTTAAAATAGCTAAAATAACTTTGAAAAAGAACAAATTTGAAGGACTAGTATGACCAGATTTCAAGAGTTATAAAACTATATAAACAGAGTGTGGTATCAATATGAAGCTAGAGAAATCAGTTTATGAAACAGAAATAAAGCCACACGTATATGGACAACTAATTTAAAACAAAGTTGCCAAAGGCAATTCAATGAGGAAGGAATACTCTTTAATAAATGATGCTGGCACAATTAGATATCCATATATAAAAGCGAACTTCAATACATACCTCACAGAGATATGAAAATTAAATCAAAATGGATCATAGACCTAAATGTAAAATCTAAAACAATAAAATACAGAAGGAAACTTTTGTGACCTTGGGTTAGGAAATAATTTTTTAAATAGGACACCAAAAGAACAATCTACAAAATTAAAAAAAAAAAAAAAAACTAGTGTTGTAGACTGAGAGTTTTTGCCTCTCAAAATTCATATGTAGAATCCTTAACCCTCAGTGTGGCTGTATTTGGAGATGAGACTTATATGGAAGTAATTAAGTTTAAATGAGATTGTAAGGGTGCAACACTGATCCAATAGGATTGGTGTCTTTATTAGAAGAGACACCAGAGCACTCTCTCACTCCTTCTCCCTGCCTCCGCCCCCTGCCATACACAGACATTCACTGAGGAATGGCCCTGAGAGCACACAGGGATATTGTGGACATCTGCAACCCAAGAGGACAGCCTTCACCCTGCACCTACTCTACTACCACCTCGATCTTGGACTTCTGACCTCCAGAACTGTGAGAAAAATTCTGTTGGATAAGCCTCTCAGTCTGTGGTATTTTGTTACAGTAACCCAAGCCGACTAAGATACTTGATAATTCAGTCTTCATCAAAATTAAAAACTGCTCTTCACAAGGCACTGCTAAGAAAATGAAAGATAAGTTACAGAATGAGAAAAAATATTTTCTAATTCTACATCTAATAAAAAACTGGTATCTAGAATATGTGAAGAATTCCTACAACTGAATTATATGACATAAACAACCTAATAAGTAAATGGACAAAACATTTGAAAAGATACTGCACCAGAAAGAGATAGGTGGCAAATAAGTGCATGAAATACAATTCATCATTAGAGAAATGCAAATGAAATACACAATATGATATCAATACACTACTATCAGAATAGGTAATTTTTTTTTTTTTTTTGAGACAGAGTTTTGCTCTGTCGCCCAGGCTGGAGTGCAGTGGAGTGATGTCGGCTCACTACAAGCTCTGCCTCCCGGGTTCACGCTATTCTCCTGCCTCAGCCTCCCAAGTAGCTGGGACTACAGGCACCTGCTACCAAGCCCGGCTAATTTTTTTTTTTTTTTTTTAGTAGAGACAGGGTTTCACTGTGTTAGCCAGGATGATCTTGATCTCCTGACCTCGTGATCCGCCTGCCTCGGCCTCCCAAAGTCCTGGGATTACTGGCGTGAGCCACCGCGCCCTGCCCAGAATATGTAAAATTTTAAAAAATGATGGACTCTATCAGATGTTCACTTGGCAAGGATGTGGAGGAACTAGAAATCTCAAAAAACTACTGCTAGGAATAAAAAATGGTACAACCACTCTGGAAAACAGTTCGGCAGTTTCTTGAAACATCAAACACATAAGATGAGATAATACTGGAGTGGGGTGGGCCCCTAATCCAACATGACTGGTGTCTTTATAAAGAAGAAAAAATGTGGGCCAGGCGCGATGGCTCATGCCTGCAATCCCAACACTTTGAGAGGCCGAGGAGAGCGGATCACAGAGTCAGGAGTGAGAGATGAACCTGGCCAACATGGGGAAACCCCGTCTCTACTAAAAATATAAAAATTAGCTGGGCATGGTGGTGGGCTCCTGTAATTCCAGCTACTGGGGAAGCCGAAACAAGATAATTGTTTGAACCCGGGAGGCGGAGGTTGCTGTGAGCTGAGATCGCGCCATTGTTCTCCAACCTGGGCAACAAGAGCGAATCTCTGTCTCAAAAAAAAAAAAAAAAAAAAAAAAAGGAAAAATGTGGACACACACAGAGGGAGAAAGGCATGTGAAAATGAAGGTAGAGATGGGGACGATCCTTCTACAGGCCAAAAAATGGCTAAGATTGCAAGTAAACTATAACAAGCCAGAAAAGAGGCAAGAACAGATTCTCACTCATAGCCTTCAGAAGGAATCAATCCTCCTGACACCTTGATCTTTAAACTTTTAGCCTCCAAAACTGAGACAATATATTTCTGTTCTTTAACCCAGAAAAAAAATGAACATAAATCTATATACATCTACCATATGATCCAGTGATTCCACTCCTAGATGTTGAGTCAAGAGAAATGAAAGAATGTGTCCATACAGAGACGTGTAAACAAATGATCCTAAGCAGCCTCATCTGTAATTTCCCAGAAGTGAAAGCAACTGGGGAATGGATTAATAAATAATAGTATATCTACACAAGGGAATACTATCAGCAATAAAAACGGATGATACACTGATAATACAAAATAACATGGATGAATCCAAAACTAATTATGCTGAGTGAAAGGAGCCAGACAACGAAGGTCTGCAAATGCATAATTTATATAAAACTCTAGGAAACTCAGACTAATCTATAGTGACAATGAGCAGAACAGTGGTTTCTCGGTGTGGGGAAGAAGGACAGGCAGGGGGCAAGAATATGGAACAGGAGGAGACTTTTCAGGATAATTGCTATGTTCACTCTCTGTGATGGTTTCACAGGGGTATACAGATGTCAAAACTTATCAAATTGTCTGTTTTAAACAGGTATACTTTATTATAAATTATACCTCAATAAAGCTGTTCTCAAAGAGAGGCACAGAGAGAGAAAGAGGATTGGATGAACTGCAAGTCAAGCTGTTTAGCTGAGCATATGCTGCAGAAGAGAAATAGCTGAAGGGGAATTGGGGCCAGGAAGTGAAAAGTCCTTGCAAGCTGTGAGGAGAAGTTTGCACTTATACTGCTAAAAACAAAAGAAGTCTTGTAGCATTTAAAAGTATGTGTGTGGCTGGGCGCGGTGACTCATGCCTGTAATCCCAGCACTTTGGGAGTCCAAGGCGGGCAGATCACGAGGTCAGGAGATCAAGACCATTCTGGCCAACATGGTGAAACCCCGTCTGTACTAAAAATAAAAAAAAAGTAGCCGAGCGTGGTGACGTGCGCCTGTAGTCCCAGCTACTTGGGAGGCTGAGGCAGGAGAATCGCTTGAACCTGGGAGGCAGAGGCTGCAGTGACCCGAGATCGCACCACTGCACTCCAGCCTGGGTGATAGAGCAAGACTCCGTCTCAAAACAAAGAAAAAAAAAAGTATGTGTGTGTGTGTTTCTGTAATGTTAATTCATTTCTGTTAATGTTCATATACTTTTTAGCAAAACTACCAAGCCAAACCAAACAATAATAAATGACCCTTTTGAAAATACTAATATTCTAAACACTCACCAGAGTTGGCCTGAGTCTTCCTCATTTCAGACCATCCTCAGATGCCCTGGTCTCACCATAGCACACTGATGAAGATGGACATGCTCAGTGGGTTCCTCCGATAATGAGAGGTATTTCTGGGGATATTCATGGAAGATGTTCTCTTCATAATCCATTTTCTACAGAGACAGCTAAATCAGTTTGGTTTTTCCTGGCCTGTTTTCACTTACCAGTGGAAAGACCTTCAGCTTTTAGGAACTCAGGAGTGGTTTTAAAATCCTGAGCTCTGTCAATTTTGCGTAACAGTGGGCTGACCAAAATCTCTTTTTGGAAACAGCTTTCTCCTATGTGAAAGGGGCTAATAACACAGGCCTCGTAGTATTGTAGTGAGGATATTAAGCTTCCACATATGTGAAGCCCCCAGCGGAGAAACTCAGACATAGTTGAGGTTAATTCCCTCTAGTTGGCTTTTCATCTCTTCCCATCTTCCTCTTTCTTAGAAATATTTCCACCAGATGATGAGATCATAATATCATATTTTCTTCCTCAGTTACAAATTTAGTTTGGTGTAAATCCATGATCCATTCATAGGAAGCATTGTTTAAATTTAACAAAAATGCATAAAACTGAGGATGTCATTATGAGAAAGACAGATTCAAACCTGGCCTGAGTAGAAGTTTTTGGCCTGGATTTTAATCAACACAACCATTGTTTTCAAGTCAAGGCCAAATTCTTGTGACACATAATACAAAATTTATGAACTTACTGAAACTGATTTATAAGCTGATAAAGGATACTATAACCCTACAGAGCTGGTTGCAAAATAACCAGAGGGTAAAACTGAAGTTTTATTAAAATGACCTCAATCTTTTTATCTCATACCTGTGCCGGATAGTCACTTTAGTAGGATCTGTAAGCACCAGGTGCTTCCACCCCATGTTTCTAATGCATGATGTACCAGGTTTAGAAGAAAAGCATGCAAGGAAGTGGGGCTTATATCAAAATGAATTCAAAGAACTTTTATTAAGTGTCTTCTCTGTGCCAGGCTCTAGGACACATAGACATGGAAAACACATTCCCTGTTAAGGGGCCTTCAGTATAATGAAGAAGACACAAATGTCAAGAAAGAAAGGAGCTAAGGTACAGGTACTGAATGAGCATGAAAGTGTGGGCAGGGGAAGCAAGCTCATGTTTACGCTTCAACAATAAGCAAATTTTCTGACCTCAAGATTCATTCATCCATTCATTCAGCAAATTCTGAATTTCTTCTGTACACCAGGCATAGTTCTGACCTTAAGTTTCATCCATTCATTCATTCAGCAAATATTGAATTTCTTCTGTATACCAGGCTTAGTTCCGACCTCAGGATTCATTCATTCATTCATTCAGCAAATATCAAATTTCTGCTGTACACCAGGCATAGTTCTAGGCACTAAACAGTAGGAGCCTATTTTTTTTTTCAATTGAATTGACTCATTACATGTTTAGTTTTTGTTCTCCTCAATTAAACCAAGTTTCTGCAGGACAGAGACTCTCTCTTCTTCCCCAGCAATAAAATACGTATTTTTGTTACTGTTCAATATTTACTGAAATTATATAAGATCAATTCTGATAAACTTTTTTTTGAAGAAAAAGAGAATAAAAAAGGAAGCTGTTCAGGTGGTGATGGAAAATATTTTTCAAACTTTGCTGCAGGTGGTCCTTTAGTCTTTCCACCATCCTCTGGGTGGACACGTTCGTCATTGCTAGTGCTGCAAGGAATATGACTTTTGTATATCTTCAATATGTAGGCTTCTACCCAAAGACTTTGGCCAAGTATATTAAGAGTCTACTATGGGAAATGGGGTGGGGTTTGGGTAGGATCTAGTGGTTTATTAGAAGTTGAACACTAAATAGCAATATTCACACATCTTTTAAATTCCCAGTTCAGAAATATTTCTGAAACTGTAAGTCTGGTCACACCAGTATCTCTGAGCACATCTTGGCATCTGCCACAATAAAAAAAAAATCATGGGGTGAGAAACAGATCTTTGTTAAAAATCTCGTTTAGGCTGTGTCCTCCACTAGTGATGTTGCGTATGTCACCCTGTTCTGCCACAACAATCCTCTGATGTGTGATTTTTTTCATGCTTTCAGATTAGAAAGTTTAAATTAAAAAAAAAGACCCAGAAAATTGCACAAGGCCTGCAGTAGAAAAATTAGGGTTTATGGCTCTGGTTTACTTCAGAGCCCACAAGCTTCCACTACCCCATACAAGGTTCAGAAAAATCTCCTCACCCAGTCTACTTTGTAAAGGAAATCTGGACAACTGGCCACCCAAACTCTGCTCAATCTCTTCCCTTATCTGGGTTGTTACAGGCCAAGGGGGCACTGTGCAGACCGTAACAGAGTAACTCTAATTCCGAGCTTCCAAAAGTCTAAGTGTTTATATTCTACCCTCAGGATAATTTATTATTATGTAATATTTAAGTTCGTTTAACATTTATTTTTACTTAAATAACTTTGTTCCAAAAACGCATTTTATATCATTACCAGAAGCAATAATAGTGACTAAGAGCACATACTGGGTTCAAATCCCATGTCCATTAATTACTAGCTATGTGATCTCAGGTAACTTACTTTGCCTCTCTATGCCTCAGTTTCCTCATCTGTAAAAGGAATAATAATAGCACCCAACTAAAAGGATTGCCATGAAGATTAGATCCAAACACAACAAACACATCAGTGCCCTGTATATGATGAACATTCAAGAACTGTTACCTATTGTTATCATTAGTACATTAGTGGAAAACCAAAATTGCCTTCTCTAAATGAAAGGTAATCATGTAAGTCAAGACTATAAAAATAAGCCATTATTATTAAATTCTGGCCAGACAGTGGTGATCTCAAAGGCTGCAGATCTCTGGCTTAGTCTAGTTTTGTTAAAAGGCATTATTAGTAAGTGTCTGAAGATATTCACATCTAGCACCAAATTGAGTCTTTCTCTGTGTTATAGTCAGACAATTGAAAGGGAAGTAGTTATCTGTACATGATTCCATAGTGTTTAATTTCTTGCCTAGGCACCAGCTGAAAACTAAAGGACTGCCAGCTTGATGTGAACCACATGTTTAGAAAGCTGTATTAGGAAGAACTTCAGTGCCCACAATCAAGTGGTCTTCTGTCTTAGTTCAGGCTACTACAACAAAAATGCCATACACTGTGTATCTTCAACAACAAACATTTATTTCCCACAGTTCTGGAGGCTGGGAAGTCTGAGATCATGGTTCCAGCATGGATGGGTTCTGGTAAGAGCCCTCTTCCTGGTTTGTAGACCTTCTTGTATCCTCACATGGTGGAAAGCAGAGAGAAGAAGGAAGCTCTCTCTTGTCTCTTTTCTTATTAGGGCACTAATCTGATTCACGAGGACCCCACCTCATTACCTAATTACCTCCCCAACACATTATCTCCTAACATCATCATATTGGGCGTTGGAATTTCAGGATATGAACTTTGGGAGACACACACATTTGGTCCATAACAGCTCCTTTGTCTCTTTGCTGGTCCAGCGTATGCTCCTGAGATAAAACTGTCATTGCCATGTGTCCATCCTGAGAGATCTTGACAACTGTTGGATATGTACTCTGTAGTGCATATCCTAAAAGGTAGGGATAACATCTTAGACACAGAGTTCTTCCACACTTGACCCAGATTCATATAGGAGGTGGCCCTTATTATAGGTAGAACAAATGTTGATGCAAGGAGGGAAGAAGCCTTGCATGACAACAAGGATGTGTCCAAAGGGTCAGGGTCGGCGGGAAAGTGGGCCTGCTCTAAAGGGAATCAAACTGTTGAAATATACATGCAAATAGAATCTGGTGTCCATTTTAAGTTACAATAATGAGTGTCAGGACACTAATGATTCCTGCCAGCGCACGCTTCATCCAGGAACTCATGGAAGGAAACACCAGCTAGAATTGGAAAGGCTGTAGTCTGAGTCTATCAGCAAGTCTGAAATCAACAACAGCTGACATTCCAAGGATCCACGGAGGATTGAGGAACTGGAGGAAAAGAAACCTTAGCAATGGCTATGAAGGGAAAAAAGCCATTAACCTTCCTGTTTCCTCTTCTCATTCACACATTAAAGACAAAACAAACAAAAATAAGACAGTGAGCACCTACTATGTGGATCGCTCTCTATTAATCACTGCACTAGACCGAAAGGCTTATGACTCTAAAGTCTAACGGTTTAGATTAGATTGTACAAATAACTGTACAAATAACTCTGGTCCAATATATGAAATAGTAAAGTTAATAAAACAATATAAATCAGCTATAAAGGAGATTTACATAATGGAGAAGACATTTCCAACCATTGCACCTGTATCTTTAAGAATAACACTCAGGCAATAAAAGCAGGAAGAAAGGACAGAATAGAGGGGGATGTGGAAACCAATGCATACAGGAAGCACAGGCATGTTCTAGGAATGGTTAGTAGTCCAATAAGGCTAGAATCTGGCAGAAAGCTTAACAAAGTGAATGCAATGGGTTGGAGCCAGTTAATGGAGAGGCTCTGAATGACAAACTACAGAGTGTTGGGTGCCAAAGGCAAAATGTATCTTTCCCTAAACTTTGCTGAGCAGTGTGGTCTGTGGGACAACAGGGAGACTTCTGGGCTGCCTGTTGCAATGTGCCATGAACTCTACTGTCACCACCAGCTCCAGACAGAAGCTTACATGCAGGGCATTCATTGCACCGATTCATTGCCTGCACCCTTGCCACACTCAGGTGTTTGGAGATTACAGGTGTTTCTGCTGGAGAATTGGAAGCCAAATGCAGCTCTGAGGGCTCAAATGGTTCGGTTTGGTGAATCAAGGCGCCCTTCCCCGCAGCCAAAGGTAGGGGCTTGCTGATTGGAGTAGAGGTTGGGAGTGACTCGCTGAGAGCCTCTGAGATCTCTATTGACGGCATGGCTGAGTTTCCCTGCTCTGCAGTGAAACTTTGTACACGTTTCTCTCTTCTCTTATTTGCCCAGACCCACATGATAAACACTGGGATGAGATGCCCCCTTGCCAAGTGACGAGGCAGTGGCAGAAGCTGTGGCTCTCTCATCAGCAAGGTAATGAGAATTCATTTCCATTTTATCACTTCTGGCACGTCTGCTTTTTCCCCTCTGCGTTATCTTATTATTACGGCTGAAATTGATTGTCACCACAGAGTGGGCGTCTAAATCCTATCCCTTTATGCTCCCTCCAGCTCCGCTGAGCCCTTTCCTCTCAATTCAGTCTCTCTCTGCTCAACATCTTTCCCCTGACCCCTTCCTCCTGCCGTGGTACATTAACAGGAGAGAAAAACTCATTTGAAACAATTTATGATGTGACTCAGTAGTCTATGTGCTCCTAACCGCGAGGCAAGGCTGGGGCAGGAAAGCAGCCCCTGGTTTGTGTGCTCTATCATGAGGCAGAGCCTCCTCATCCTGCCAGTCTATTTAACTGTTCTCTGGAGTCCTTCCTGTCCCAGGAGATGAGGGAGTGGAGGGAGGGCCCTGAGAAGGTTCCCACACTGGGTCAACGAAGAAGGTGCCTGATCGGGCAAATCCCAGGTGGTTGGGGAAGGCAGGCAGAGAAGAGGAGGAAAAGTGGTAGACACTATGTGGGGCATTATCTTGTTGTGTTTCATTGTCTGCGAGCGTGTGCTGGACAAATTGGCTTCTGGAGGTGCTGTGTAGTGTAAGACTCGGGATTCCCACTGAACCTTGAAGCCTGGCTTCTCTGAGCTCTGTTACAATTTCTTGAGCCTTGCCTTCAGGTATGCACTGTGAACTAGGAAGGGCCAGGTGGGGGTGGTTGGGGAAAGGAGCCTATCACATATCCTGGCCAGGTGCAGTGGTTCACACCTATAATCCTAGTACTTTAGGAGGCTGAGGCAGGTGTATTGCTTAAACCCAGGAGTTCCAGGCAGCCTGGGCAACATGACAAAACCCCACCTTTACAAAAAAATACAAAAAAATTAGCCAAGTATGGTGGTGCATGCCTGTAGTCCCAGCTACCCTTTAGGCTGAGGTCGGAGGATCACCTGAGCCTGGGGAGTTTGAGGCTGCAGTGAGCCATGATAGCGCCACTGCACTCCAGCCTGGGCGATAGAGTGAGACTCTGCCTCAAAAACAAACAAACAAACCCAAAGATTAACATCCTCCTTGGAGAGAGAGATGGAGTGAAGAGGCAACCCAAATGGAGTATGAAGTTAAAGGAGGGAGATTTAAATTTAGTGGGTACCACCATGGATCAGACATGATAGTAGGTACTTATTGCTTGGTGGGCCAGAGATTATTCCAACTCAGCTATCTCTGAGCACTGGACTTGTGGTCTTTCTATTTGACCAACACTGCTGGGACCCTTGCCAGATGCAGAAGCAGCCACCATCCCAATTAGCTTAATCTGAAGGGACATGTACTTGCATTTATTTATAATTTGTATTAATTTGACAGGAGCTGTAAGCTTTGTGTAATTCCTAGAATATAGTGAAATTTTTACTTGTAACCGACACACAGAAATGCTCCTAATTTTCAAACCCTGGATAAGAATGAATAGGTTAAAAGTCATTCTCTCTGGCCTGGTAAATTTGAAAAATAAACCTTCAAGGTTGGGGTTTTAAATCTTTACGTTTTGCCCCTTGTGAAAATGGACAGTGGGACTTTTACTTTTCGAAAGAAAGCTGGTCCCAATGGGAAGTGTTTGAGTTTAGGATGTGTTAGCAGGAAGGATTTTTCAGCAGGGCTTACCTCGTGCAATATAAACCTGTTAATCTTTTTGATCCCTAGTATGGATTAGACCAGACTTCATATACCCTGGTGTGTCGGTTTGGATGTTGTGGGATGGTGTAACTGCATTTCACCATGCAAGAGAACAATGAGTTTGCACCTTCCAAAGCCCAAGCTGCCTACAGAGCTGCTAAAACTGTTTGGCTCACTGCTCCTTTCTCTTCCCCACCCTACATCTTTCAGGAGGCTGTACTTGTCTTCGCCTATGAGATCCGCTTTGCATATGTACTGAGAAATGTGTGGGTCCTGGGCCAGAAATATGTGAAGAATCCAGCCTTTGGGCTTCAGAAAGTCCGCAGCTCATACTCTAGCCCTTTCTTGCCTCTATACCTCAAGCTCATTATTGGCTTCTCACTGCCCCTGCCCTGACCATTGTGTCTCCTTTGCATTCCTGATTCTCTTTGGGTATCCTACCAGGCCCTGAATCTGCCTAACTGCCTGGACGGACTTGCCTTCCTATTGCCCCACTTCCCACTTCCTCAGCCTAAGCTCATCAGTCTTATATTAGCCCCTGACCAGCTTTATGGAACTTCCGGGCTTGCAGTAGAATGGAGACTTTGGCTGCGTTTAGCTCTGTTTTACGAACCTGCCAAAACAAATATTGGTTGAATGAACGAACGTATGATTGAACGAATGCCCCCTCCTCTGATGATTCCCCTTACCTGCGCCTGTATGTCCAATTCCAGATGTCGCTTCGGGGCCTGGGAAACTTGCCCATTCAGAGTGAGGTGGGCGCTGGATGACTGCTGAGTCTGCTCTCTCCATGTGGTGAGAACTTTGAAACTTTGCTCATCTGTGTTTCCTATATCATGGAAGCATGAGCTTCCAAATGCAGCCTTGGAGAAATGAGAAACTACTTTTTTTTTTTTTTTTTTTGGTTGGCAGCAAGACCTTTCTTCTCCCTGAACCCCAGGAAAAGAAGGATTTAATGTTTCTTAACTTCATAAATCTGGCCTCATTCTACTTGAATCACTGAAACCTGATTCAGATGTATTTTGTGAAACTACTAAAGGCTGCTACTCAGGCTCCCAAACCACATCAACAGAGACACTCAGGGGCCCCTTCGGCAGGCTGGAGCTCTTGGAGAAGGCAAGAGAAGACACGGTCTCCTGAAAGAGATCCTGGTGGGATTGGGTAGGAGAAAGATATTGGTGCCCTGAAGGGCTGGGATCCAATCCTGGATCTGCCTTCTTTTAGCGATGTGAGAGTCTGGGTAAATTACCAAATCTTTTGGATCATCCATTCTCTCAACCGAATGTTGTGATGCACATCCCTGCCTCTAACCTTGTTGAGTAAAGATTAAATGGCCTGGCAGATGGAAACATTTCTAGAATAATGCCTGACATTCAAGACGGGTTCATTCTCTCCTGATACCTCCCAGAGCTGTTATATTTAGTTCTGCAGAGACTTCAACAGATGTAAACTCTCTGGTCCAATACTTCAAATTTTGAGCTTTCTTTTCCCCCAATTCCCTACAACCCATATGTCAGAATTATAGACTCCAGATTCTTTTATATTCCCTGCCCTCTTGGCACTGGCATCAGCATCTTCTGCCATTTCGATTGCCATATAACTCTTCAGTTAAAGAAGTGCATTTTAAAATTCCCAATGCATCTGATGAGTTCAAGTTTATTGCTCACCAAGTTTCAAAAAATTTGGCTTCAAGGAAGAGTTAATTTATACTTCAAGCTATGCTAGACCCTTATATCAAAAATAGCCTGATCCCAAATTTCATACATTGGAATATATAATGACACCATACATCAAATGTAAGATCCAGTTTCTACTGCCAAATTCCCTGACACACTGCAAATTTTCACAATTTCTTGGTTCTTAGCGAAGATTCCATCTACTGGAGGGCTCGGAATTGGACCAGGGTATATGGAGTCAGATCTCATGACATGGTTCTGGAGATGTCACATCCAATTGCCATTTTAAGAACAGACTAAGTGGGCTCTTACTGCCAAGGCAACTTGTTAGGATCACTCACCTGACTCTTCCCTGCACTTTGATTGGAGTCATGACTCTTACTCTTAACCTTGCATACCACCCCATTTCCATCTCTCTGACTCTGCAGTCCATTGCACCTGTTAATGTGACCTCTCTTGGCACTGGTATCACATTTTCACAACTTGTTCTCCTAGAAATTTCACTTAACCCCATTTGCTCCTCACTTCACCTTAACTTGCATGATCCTTGACTTTTTTCTACCCGTATCCCGTTTCTCAGATATGCTCGTCTCTAGGAAGCCTTCCCTACATCCTCAAAGCCAATTTGAGTGATTTCATGGCATTCTTTCCTGGTCTGGGCTTTGTAATTGAGGAGTTTATATTTGTTTTTATCTACTACCAG